>NC_000010.11:49688549-49840064 GCF_000001405.40 Homo sapiens | reverse complement strand
AAGCCTATTTTCACTGTTCCAAACTCTTGCCTTAAAGCAATTGTCCCCAGTACCATGATGTTTTTAGGATAGAGCATATCGAGTAGAATAAGACTTGTCTTTAAATTTTCATGAGGTGCTACTTACCTAAACACGTATATGTGAATTTGTCACACGGTCAAGAGGACATTTATGTAAGCAGTAGGTTGTTGGAGAGAAATATGGAAAAGGAAAGTAGAACCAAAATGTGTTTAGCCACAGTTAATACATGAATACAAACTGAAAGCTTCACTATTTTATGAATGAACTGTATACTCCCACATATACTTTTCTATGAGAACTAGATCATTCACTTTTAGAAGTTATCCTCAATTATGATCTTTTAAGAAGGTAACTTTGGGCATAAGTCTTTTTTAAAATTGCCAGGTCCAGTTGATTCTCTCTGCACTTACTTGTGTATCACCAACCTTCAGTTTGCCCATCCTCAAAGACACCAGAAATTTAAAAGATATATGTGAATAGGTTAAGTTAGTTGTAAATATTGGCAACATGGAAGAACATTTATTTATAGAATATAGAGTCTTAATGAGGGGCGTTTTATACAAAGAATGAGTCTTCAAGTAACCTGGCAACAGGAGTTTTATTTCATTAGGAGTTGGCGGCAGTCAGTCACACTGCCTTATGGAAGTGTCTCAAAAATATTTTGTTAAATGACTTGACTGATAATTAAATAACTTTTTTTTTTTTTTTGAGACGGAATTTCACTCGTTGCCCTGGCTGGAGTACAATGGCGTGGTCTCAGTTCACTGCAACTTCCGCCTCCCGGGTACAAGTGATTCTCCTGCTTCAGCCTCCCAAGTAGCTGGGACCAGAGGCATGCACCACCACGCCAGGCTAATTTTTCTATTTTTAATGGAGGTGGAGTTTCATCATGTTGGCCAGTTTTGTCTCCAACTCCTGACCTCAGGTTATCTGCCCATCTCGGCCTCCCAAAATGCTGGGATTACAGGCGTGAGCCACCACGCCTGGCCTAAATAACTTCTTAGACAATGTTAATTTAGGTTTTTGAGGTAAATATTTTAGAAGTTACATAAGTACATTATCTTAAGTCACTCAATATGTCACAAAATGTTATATATTTCCTAAATATTCTTCAAGTGCTCAATAAAGCCTAGTAAGTTGAGTGTCAAATCAAGTTTGGGACAGATGAAGCCATGTGAAGCAGATGGGTTAATTTTTAATGTATAGTGATGCAGTTCTACATTCATTTTCAACCTGCAATTATTCATGTCAATATGCAATAAAGTCTAATTTATAATTCATAAAAGATTCTTTTCAGTCAAATGCAGGTGGAGTTTTTTTTTCAAATTATACAGATAACAATAGTAAAAGTAATTCTTGCCATTAAATGATTGTTTACTCTCTATGAGGCATTCTACTTAGTGCTTTAAATGCAGTGTCTGATTTAGTCCTAACCACTCAGGGAGGCATAACTATTTTTCTTGTCTCTCATTTAGAGACAGTGAGTTCACTTCTTAGGAAGTTGAGTAATTTGTCGCAGGCCAGGTCACATAGCTGGCCACTGACCAAACCAGGGCTCAAATTCAGGCTCCCCTGACTTCAAATCTTTTTTTTTTTTTTTTTTTTTTTTTTTGAGACGGAGTTTCACTCTTGGTGCCCAGGCTGGAGTGCAATGGCATGATCTCGGCTCATTGCAACCTCCACCTCCCGGGTTCAAGCGATTCTCCTGCCTCAGCCTCCTGAGTAGCTGGGATTACAGGCATGCACCACTACTCCCGGCTATTTTTGTATTTTTAATTAGAGACGGGGTTTCTCCATGTTGGTCAGGCTCATCTTGAACTCCCAACCTCAGGTGATCCACACGCTTCGGCCTCCCAAAGTGCCGGGATTACAGGCGTGAGGCACTGCGCCCAGCCAAATCATTTTTTAAAAATGTAAATCCTGCACATAGAGACTACTATAACTAGGCCTCACCTTCTAGACTTTTTGTGGTTCAAACTTAAATCATTGAGAATATTTCTGCTTTTAGAATAGTCTCCTACATGCTTATGCCTGAATCACTCTTCTTTTGTGATCATAAACTTCTGCTGTGAGCAAGGTACCTGTTAAATGCTTTTCTCAATATGGCTTTTCTGTTTGATATAGTTTTTCAAGGAAATTTGAGGGTTCCCCACCTGTGAGACAAGGAAATACCTCGAGTGTAATAGAGCCTATCAACACATGGACTAACTTTGAGAAAGCACCTAGTTCAGGGCCTGGCACATGGGAAGGCATCTGATAAATATGTGTTCTTTTATTCACTGATATATTCCAAAAAATGTGTTATTTTAACAAGGAATTAGTTTTTTAATTCTTTCACTGAAAAAGGAAAAAGCAGTAAATGATTTTGTTAAATGTCATTGGCAACTTAATCAGAAACTAATCCAAACAACTTTAGGCCTTCTAGATTAAAGCATTTGTCCCTTACTAGTTACATTTACCTATTAAAATTGACTTAAGAATTTTGGTTATGAGCAGCAGGAGTCTCACATAAACTGACAGCACAACTTGGAGACAATGTTTAATATTTTATATCTCATGTTTTACAAACTTTTAGAGCAGAAGTCTGTGTTAAATCACTTTAGAGATGACTTGCACAATTCTGCTTGTGTGTGTGTGTGTGTGTGTATATATGCATGCCAGAGAGAAAGGAGGAAAAGAAAAAAAAAAAACCCACATTTTTCTACGCGAAAAAGTAAAACCAGTTTTCACCGTCAGAATTCAGTATGGATCTCTGACCTCTGGGGACCTGTTTGCTACTTTTAAGCATTACTCACCAGTTAATAATTGAAAAGCCAATCCTACAAAGTGCTTTCCAGGCCTCTGGAAAAGGTCTGCTCCATCCAGGCTCCACCGGTCTTATTGGACCCACATCGTGACCTGCAAGTAGAGTTGGTTTTTAAAGGGGGGGACCAGTCTCCTTCTATCTAACTCATACTGTGAAGCAATGTTTAATCCTGTGAGAGATCAGCTGGGTATCATTCTAAAGGAGAATTATTTTAGGGTTAGAAAGATTTATGACTTCAGCTTGTAAAAGTGGCAAATAGCACTGCAAGAGAAGAAACAAATCACTTGTGAAAAGTTGTATTTGCCATGTTAGGTAGGATTTTAGGTAGGATTAAGTAATGAATATGTTTTGTGGAGCTTTCTGAATCTGAGATTGAACAAGGTGGAGAGATACAAATCATCCCTATTTACCTTTTTAAAAATTGATCTGTTTATTGATGTTTTTGTTATTATTCACCACCGTATTTGGAATAGGACTGTTATTAAACCAAAGCCTGAAAACAAAACCAGTCAGTATTTGCTGCTGATATTCCTAAGAAGTTCAGCATCTGAGCACTTACAGTCTTTTCATAAAATATGTGTCACTTTACTTTTCGAGAATGTTCAAAATGTATCATTTGTAGTGGGTTTTCCCTTAAGTTTCCCAATATATAGAATCAGAATAACAATTAAATACATAACCCAATCTTGGATTTTATACATCAGGAAACTAAGATCTGCATACTTCTTTCATTTTATATATTGCATTTTAGAATAGCAAAAACAATGTATTAATGTTATAATTATTTTAGGGATGAAGTCTAATCTCAGCTACTCGAGAGGCCGAGGCAGGAGAATCGCTTGAACCCGGGAGGTGGAGTTTGCAGTGAGCTAGGATCACACCACTGAACCCAGCCTGGGCTAAAAAAAAAAAAAAAAAAAAAAAAAAAAAGTCGTAAGAAATCAGAGAATACTAAAAACCTCAGAAAATCAGTATCAATATCCACTGTGTATTAAGTTAAAGAAGTATAGTAGATTGATTTCATATAAATGAGTAACTTTAGGAACAATAATTATTAAATTATTCCAGCAAATAGAATAATGTATTTACATGATAATGAAAGACATCTTTTAAGTAAAATCATGCATCACTTAAAGATGGAGATATGTTCTGTGAAGTAGTCACTGTGCACATGTCACTTTACACAACCTAAGTGGTATAGCCTGCTACTCACCTAGGCTAGATGGTATGGCCTATTGCTCCTAGACTACAAACCAGTCGAGTGTGTTACTATACTGAATACTATAGGCAGCTGTGACGCAACGGTAGGTATTTGTGTCTTAAACATAGGGCAGGTGCTATGAAAATAATGGTATAATAATCTTATGGGACCATCGTCACGTTTGTGCTTCGTTGTTGACTGCAACATCACTATGCGGCACGTAACTGTCTATCTGCTTGGGCCTTCTAAAATTGATATTGAAGCCAAAGATCTTACTTAAGTGTAAAATCTTATACATCAGTTTGTGCCAGACTATTCCCCTGGATACCATTTCTTTCCTGGGCCTCATTTTGGGCCTGTAGACTTTATACCAGTTTTGTTTGGTCTCTTTTCCGTTTTCTTTCCTTCTTTCCTACATCTTTATCATTACCATGTCCTGGTTGGTCTCTAGTTTTTAACTCTAGGTACTAATATTTTCATCTTTCTTCTCAATACACCCCTTTGCAACCTTCAGGACTCCCAAATTACCTTTATGTTCGCTGTCTTCTTCCCTTCCCATCAAAACTCATTCCAAGAGAGGGTTGTTCATTGGTATCTTCTGCTTACTATCCTGAGGTCTCAGTGCTTCCTTTTTCTTTTCCCCCTTCTGAGTTGTTGATTAGTAAAAATAAATTGCTCTGTCATTGCAGACTGTCAGGGCAGGGTATGGCTAGAGTTCAAGCTGGCTTTCTTTTATTCTCGCAGCTTTCTGATGAGTCTTCTCAAGTACTCTTGCTCTGGGTGGGGGAAAAACAAACGCATTTGCCAATATAGAGCTCTTGAGAACTCCTAATGCCTTTCGCTGTGGAGTGAGAACTTGGCAACTCTTTTAAGGTCTCTATCCTTATCTCATCTTTGTTTCTTTACCAAGGGAGTTCAATTCCTACTCATAAAAGGAAAGGTCCCCTGATTCAAGGCTCTGCCCTGGTCTCCAGCACTTAAGGCATCCTTCTTCCTAGAGAAGGGAGAAGCCTGGGCTGACTTTCCAAAGAGGGCTCAGGGCAGCATACTACTGCTGTCTTATTTCTGACCTTACAAATGCTTGCTTCTTAACAGAATAAAATAATTTTGTATTTAATCATTATAACCAGTTATTCTAATTTCTATGTAATTTTATCATTTAATTTTTATCTGATTAATATTTTTTGGTGGCAGGGGTGGGGGATAGAGTTCACTGTCACCCAGGCTGGAGTGCAGTGGCACCATCATGGCTCACTGCAGCCTAGACCTCCCAGGCTCAAGCAGTCCTCCCACCTCAGCCTCCCAAGTAGGTGACACCACAGGTCTTGCCATATTGCCCAGGCTGGTCTCAAACTCCAGAGCTCAAGTGATCCTACCACTTCAGCCTCCCAAAGTGCTGGGGTTACAGCCATGAACTTTTAAAGATTTGATCTAAACACTGAATGAGGTTTATTTTCAGTTTCATGGTTTGTTTTTATGGCCATTTTTCAAGATAGATAATTTTCCAGGAAAATTGGATAATATTTTGTACTAGATTTTGCTTCTAATAATTTAAATGTTTCAAATTCTCAATCATTAGGCCTTAGTTTCACTAAGCTATTTTTGCACATTGAAGTAAAGTTAACCCAGTTATTTAGAGACAGCAGTAAGAAAGAAACTAAAACCATCCTGATAGTATAAAACAGAGAAATGAACTAGGAATCTGAGGAAGCCTTCTTCTCTCTAGGCATGTTAGAAAATTCTGACATGAAACAAAGCGGCAAAGTTATGTTTATTCTTCCAGAGGGTTTGTTTTTTCCCTTGTTCGTTAATGACACAGACTATCTTTCAAGAGCCTATTCAAAACAAATGGAGCTCTCAGATTTTTTTGACCTGAAAGAGATTTTCAGAAGCTCCATGCATCTGACTATGCAGGTAATTTGTGAGCGCTTGTGTAAGCTCTATACCACAGTGTTGAATAATGATCTGGTACCAACTTATAATTAATATCTGTCAGGATTTACAGTCTAGGAGGGTATGGAAGGAATAGCCTTGTTAATCCATCGAGACAGTCTGTAAAATAAATTTTTATACCTTTGTGGAAACTTCAAAGAACAATTTAATATATTTCTATGTGTGGGTTTCATAGAAGCATCTTTCTTTATCCTTGGTTTTTCTCTGGGAACATTTGTCAAGATCATTCTTTTAATTGTATTTGCTATTATATGTAAGCTATATTTTAGGCTTCGTTTGGAACTTGAGAACCCAGGGGAGTTTTGCTTTGCTGCTGTATTAAGCCTGTTACAGTCTGATCACTTCAGAAAATAAGAATTTAGAAAGAAGGCAGAAAGACCAACTAGCTGACAGCAAAGAGGTGGAAATCAGGAACTCTGGGATCTTACACAATGGTCTTCTCATATAGAAAATGAGCTGTTCATTTAATTAATACTTAGCCAGCATCTTCAGAATATATTGTACTTTTCTCACATTACTGGCAAGTTTTTAAATATTCTAGCTTAAAACAGAGCTGTGAAACTAGAGAATCTTAGAGCCAAAAGGCATCTTAAAGGTTATTTCATAACCAGGTATAGGAATCCCTTCTATAGATAGTTGCTTGCTCTTTGTTAAGTATGTCAGTAGCAGGAAGCACATTTATTAATCTAATCTCCATAACTGAGAGAGAGAATGCTGAGGAGGCATAATAGTGACCCTTTGCCTGATGAAAAAAATAGTGATTAAAGCCTTCAAAGAAAAAGAAAACTGTTCTAACAAGTCCCTTTCCTGGTAGTTTTTCCTAGTAGTTTATAATTGGGATCCTATTAGTTCTTGAAATATCTGCTATTTTCATTTCTGTTTGTTTGAAGTGGAAAAATAAATTGGGACCTGTATTAGTTTAAGGGATTTTATGTGCTTAGCATTCAAACAAATAAATATTAGAATTTATCATTTCTTAGTCTCTTCCTTGCATAATCCCAGGTTTTTCTCTCCCTTTCTCCCTCTTTGTTTTTCCCTCTATTTTGGCCCCTATGGAAAAAAAAAATGAGAAATTGAACATAAGCTTGATAATGGACACTGATCCTAGTACATCAGTCAGAAACACTGTTAGTGTCTAGGCACTCACAGGCTTTGATAATTCTTTTATCCTGCAGGCTTACTGTGGATTTCTCCGTCCTGGAGTTTCTTCAGAGAATCTTTCTGCAGTGGCCACAGGAAACTGGGGCTGTGGTGCCTTTGGGGGTGATGCCAGGTTAAAAGGTAAGTTGTTGTAGAAAAGGATAAAAGCATTCTGCCCACACAAAAAAAGTTAGTCCTTCAAACCAGATTTCTCATGTCCTGTCATGAGACCACAAAAATCTAAGAGAAAAGGAAAAGGAATATTTAACACTATTTTCTTTTTTCCTATTATGTTTGAAGGAATTCTTATTTCATTTACCATTTTCCTTCAGAGGTCGCTTATCACTTTGATCCCCCAGACACAGTATTTTGTTGAGTATTGAAAGATTGGCAGGAGGAGAAGAGCATATAATGACTGCGAAGTTTCAAACCTGAGTTTTCACTTTCCTCCACTGGAGTGATTTTTATGGACAGTTATTTCACAGACTCATTCATCCACCAAATTTAATAGCACCTCTGCCACTTTCTAGGCACAGTGGTAGGCTCTGAGATACAAAGATGGAGAAGATGTGATGCCTGCTTTGGAATTCACAGTCCAGTGTATGAGAGAGAGGCAGTATGAGACCGATGCAGTACATGGGAATGAGTGCTGTAGTGGAGGCCCATGGGGCTGTGGGAGCACAGCCTGGGAGAGCTGCATGAATGGCACAGATAGGAGGCATCTGGATGTCCAAGAAGCAGAAACATTTCTTACGTGTTATTGTTTGTGGTAGGAAATTCACAAAATCCGATCAACAAAGCTATTGGCCATTTACTACATTGACATTTTTTCAAAGTATCAGTTATAGAAAATAATACTATATCATTACTTAGGATGATTACTTTTCCATTTCATCCCAACTGGTCTGACACCACCTGGGTGTACTGCATTGCAAATCTGACACTGACTACCTGGAGTAATCGCAGATCTCGCCTATTAAGAACAGAGTCCACAAGACTGCCCCCACTTCAGACTCCATCCACAAGTTTCAGGGGAATCCCCAGGCCACGCACATTTCTGTCCAGCTGGTTACTATTGTAGGAGGTTCCCATGTCCCCACCTCAGGTTCCATAATTTACTAGAATGACTCACAGAACTCAGAAAAAAGTCCTGTCCTTACCACTGCAGTTTTATTATAAAGGAGACACATAAAGCGAAGCCTAGAAGGGAAAGCAGAGCTTCTACAACCCTTCCCCTTAGTGTCAGGGCACCCCACTCTCCTGGCACATCAGCGTGTACACCAGTCAGGAGGCTGCACTGACCTTTGGTGACCAAAGATTTCATTGAAGTCTCATTCTGTAGGCATGATTGATTAAATCATTGGCCACATGATTGAGCTCGGTCTCTGCCCTCCCCTGACTCCCGGATGTGCAATCTGAATCGCCTCATTAGCAGAACAAAGGCACCAGCACTCAGGAAATTCCAAGGGTGTTTGAAGCTTTTACCAGGAACCCAAGATGGCACACCAGAAAAATTCTTTTTTATACCACAGTTACAAAGTAACAAGCAATAAAGCAGACATAAAACAGCCAGCTGGCCTTAATAGCTGAACTATATTTAGATAAAATTCATCTCTTTGAGAATACTTGAGTCTGTCATAATGTAACTGCCTTTCCCCTCATCAGTAAAATGCTTCTTAATATTTTTATAAAAATGACACATTTATTATTTTTTTTTAATCTAGAAAAATACCATGAAGTATATAAAAATCACTAGAATTCACTGTCAGCATTTGGTGACCATTCTTCAGGTCATCTCAGTAGCAATGTATGTAACTTGATGAAGTGACACCCTCTATTCTATTCTCCAGCCTCCTCCTTTTAGAAAGTCTGCAGTCTCATGGATAGTTTTCAACTATCCATCTAACAAATGTAGATCTACTGAGTACTCAGCATTTGTTAGTGGCTACACAGTATTCTGTTGTATGCACATATGTACCATAATTTATTTCACAGATTCTCCATTCAGAGTTTGTTTTCATTATATTATAAGGAGTACTACAGTGTGTAGTACAATTATATATATTATGTGTAATTATCTTCTTAAGGTAAATTCCTAGAGGTGAGATTAATGACTCAAAGAATACGTATACTTCATTTTGATCCTTGTAGATTTCACTCTGAAAGGTGATATCAATTCACATTGTCTTCCTCACATGAACAGCATCACCAAGACAGGACTTTGTTACTATTTTTCATTTCTCTAAGGTTCAACAGTTTTCGTGTTTATTGGCCATTTGTTTGTTTTGTGAATTGCTTTTTCATGCCTTCTGCCCATTCATCTCTTTGGGAGTAGTTTGATTTTATCACTGGCTAGTAATAACTCTTTGTATATTAAAAAATATTAATTGTTTAACTGTTACATGTTATAAACATTTTTCTGCTTCTTCATTTATTTCAACCGATCAGGCTGAAGTTACTGAGTTAGCTTTTATGTGTTCACATTTTTGTGGTGTGCTTATAAAGATGTTTCCTGTCCCTTTATGCTAAAGACTTTCACCTACATTTTCTTCAAATTCAAAGACAAAAACTGCATGGTGCTATTTTCGGTGTTTGAGGAAACCTATTTTTCACTCTGGGCTTATTGATCTTACGACAGATACTTTTTTCCTGTCTTTCTCTTAAGTAAAATGAATGACTAGATTCAAGTCATCAATCCAGAAGCTAGGTCTGCTGTAAGCCGTGGTCATTTGTGATAGACAGTTTGGAAAGCTTTATAAATGTGTTCACTTCTTTTCCTTTTTTCTTTTTTTCTGGCTTAAAAGCCTTTCAGACTGCAGCTGTGCTTGCTCTGGTGACTATCAAGCATAGTAGTCTAAGATTTCCATTATATAATTCATTTCCTCAACTATTGAGATTTAAATTTTGGAGTAACTGACATTTCCCTCCCCTTCATTAGCATAAATATTCATTAAAAATTTAGAATGAGTCATAAAGTCCTTCAATGGGGAATTGGTTACTAAACTATGATGCTAAAAAAAAAAGAAATTATGGTACATTTATGCAATAAAATATTATGCTTCCTTTAAAAACCATTATAGAAATGTGTCTGCTGACAGGGAAAGATGGTTTTGGAATATTGACAAATGGGAGAAATACCCAATGTATGCCATATAAACCATTTTAAAATTAAATTGTGAATATAAAATATCACACACAAATTTGCAGTTCTCTATGTTCATCTGTTTACGTGCCAGGATTAACTATGGTTGTTCTCTAGTGGGTGATAGTCTTTGTTTTGTTTTGTTGGGGGTTTTTTCATTTTTTATTTTTAGTAGAGATGGGGTTTCACTATGTTGCCTAGGCTGGTGTTGTGATTACACTTGTGAGCCACCACACTTGGTCAGTGATGTTTTATACTTTATTTTTAATCTGCATCTTTTTTATTGTGAGCATATATTGTTTTTGTAACAAAAAAATCTTATAAAAAATGTTCATGGTGGGTAACATGGGCAGGTATAAATCCTTAAACTTGTATTTCTTTAATTATTAATAGAAATAAGGCTAAGCTGAGCACAATGGTATGCGCCTATAGTCCCAGCTACTTGGGAGGCTGAGGTGGGAGGAATGTTTGAGCCCTGAAGTTCAAGGTCAGCCTAGTAAGACCACATCTCTTACAAAAAAAGAAAATTACAAAAGAAAGAAGGCAAATTTTTTTTTTTTTATTTTGAGACGGAGTCTTGCACTGTCGCCCAGGCTGGAATGCAGTGGCACTATCTCGACTCACTGCAACCTCCACCTCCTGAGTTCAAGCAATTCTCCTCCCTCAGCCTCCCGAGTGGCTGGGATTACAGGTGCCTGCCACCACGCCCAGCTAATTTTTTGTATTTTTAGCAGAGACAGGGTCTCACCATGTTGGCCAAGCTGGTCTCGAACTCCTGACCTAATGATTCACCTGCCTCAGCTTCCACAGTGCTGGGATTACAGGCATGAGCCACCGTGCCCGGCTGGCAAAATATTTTTAACATGCTTGTTACTTAATTGTACATGAGTTTTGTGTTTTACCACAATTAGTTGTTTGTTTTTGTAAGATACAGGGTCTCATTGTGTCACCCAGGCTAGGGTGCAATGGCGCGATCATAGCTCACTGCAGCCTCAACCTCCTGGGCTCAAGGGATCCTCCTGTTTCAGCCTCCCAAGTAGCTGGGACTGCAGACATGCACTACCATGCCCAGCCTCACAATTAGTTTTGAACTGCTTTAATTGTACATTACTTTGACAACTATTAAGAGAACATTTTTAATATATTAGTTCATTCAATAGACAGTTTACTAACAACATTCTTCCTCAGGCAGCCAGTGGCCCTAAGAGCCACAGGCTAGGAGAGAAGGGACTAGGGGGAGATGGAGGGGCTTTGGGCCTGGCTCCAGCAGCAGCCAGTGGCCTCCTGCATGCCTGTGCCACCAAAGGGGCTCCCTGTGGTCTCCTACCTGACCTGCATTTTTCTGAGCACCTTGTGGAACTCATGTGAAAGCTTTCGAGCCAGTGCAAGCTCTACTTATTTCTGGTGCTCCTAACTGTTCCAAAGTGACCCCCTAGTTCATACTTGGCTTTTAACATTTCATTGAAGTTTTAGCTGATTTATTCCTACCCATTTGTGTGGTGACCACCTCTTTCTCCTGTTACTTTCAAACATAAAACAGTTCATGTGTTTTATCTTCTCAGAGGGGCTTGTCACCCTTTGGTTGCCTCAAAAACTCAGCTCTCTTATAAACTCAGAAAAAGTCATAATTTTGTAGATTACAACATTTGGGCTTTTCTCATGGTTGGGGTAGAAGGAGCTTTTTTTTTTTTTTTTTTTTTTTTTTTTTTGTTTAAGCTTTCTACATCTCGTCTCAGCAGAGATTTTTGCGTGGGGGGCTTCTGCCTCAAATGTACCACCAGACCCTAGGCACCCGTGAGAATTTTAGGAGATAACTTAAAATTATCTCACTGGTTAGTTTGTTAAAAATTTTGCTTTTATCTCATGTCTAATTTTATTACATTGTAATCAAAGAATGTAGATAATACTATTTCTACTTTTTGGTGTTTCTTGAACTTCTCTTCATGGCCTAACATAGTCAATTATTGCAGACATGTTGGCACTTGAAAAGGTGTCTCTGAAAGGTATAAATAAGACTTACTCTTTTGCTGTAAGATTCCATACCTTTTAGGTCAGACTCTGTCCTTGTGACTTTACTTGCTTATTTTGTGAAGGAATTGAGTGCTACTTTAATGTTCCTTCTTCTGTTGTGCTTTTGTAAATTTCTCCTAGCATTTCCTTTGCTGTTTACTTACAAGTTCTTCCAACTTGCCTTATTTTGTTGTTGTTTTTGTTCTGTTTTGTTTTGTTTTAGGTGCTTAGCAGCCTGAAGCTGTGGTATTTAGTTTCTCTCCCTAGTGGTAAGCGGAAAAGAGGGATGAGGAAGGGCTTTACTGGCCCAATCAGGAACAGAAACTAAGAACCCGTGACTGTATTCTCTCCCTTGGACTTCCCCGTATATGTTACCTGACCTGTAAACAAGTATGCCATTGCCAGTTTACTATCATTAAAATGTGTCTTGTTGCATTTTTTGCATTTTCTTTTCTATCCCCATTCCCTACCTTCAGTACCTAAAAGTGACTTGCAAATAAAATATGCTCAATGAATTTCTATTTAACAAATATATTCAGTAGCTTCTGTGTGCCTTTAATTAATCTTGGGCTTTGCCCATTTTTCTGTAACTGTCTGTCTGTACCTGGCTAATTACTTCGGTCCCTTGTAAGATTCTACTCCAGTGGTAACTACTCCAGAAAGACCCTCCTTCCCTTCCACCAGAAAAGTTCTGTATTAGGATTCTTTTGGTTGAAAGAGACACTAATGTAGCTTATACCTTCCACCTAAAAGGGGACTGTTGCTTGACGTGGCTGAGAAAAGCAGGGTAGAGTTGGCCTCAGGTATGAGTTGATCCTAGAATCAGGCTCTCCCTCTGTTTGTGTTGGTTCCTCTCCTGCCTGCTTCTTTCAATATAATGGCCTCATTTTCATCTGTCTCCATCAGATTATCTCTGCCTGACAGGAACCAGGACCAAATAGTTCCAGTCTTGCAACCCTGCAGTTGAGTGACCCAAGAAGAAAGGAGGACTCCTTAGTTTTAAAATGCCACAAAAATACTCTAATTTGACCAATTGGGATTACTTCTCATCCCTTGGACCAAATTGTCATAGCCAGGGATCAAGAAACACAAGACACATCCACTAATGAGATTTAAAGGATTTCTAATTTATTTCCATGACATATGTATATTAAGTGAAATGTTTCTGAGATATAGAAACTTTTTATAAATTTCTTTCAGACCTTATGTCCATTTATATCAAACTTAAATAATGTCTTCACTAGTTATTTTGTAATTTTGGAATCAAGATAGTTAAACTCCAGAAAGACCATTTCTCTAGAAAAAGAATTTAGACAGTGCTGATATGTCATTTTCTACCATGCTGTGATTGGCCTAGACTAGCCCTTTGACTGAGTTTTATAGGAAGTGTGGTTAGGGAGTTGGGGAAAGGGTGACTTCCAACCAAAAATGGAAGGTAGGAGTATAGAGCATTGGATCAGGTCACCTCGTTTGTCTACCACAGGCTCCTCCTCACTTTGCTTTCTTCTGCCAGAACAGATCACACTCTCTTGGTCTCTCTCAGCCTTGCTCAGGAAGATTACTTTCTTAACATTTCTGTATTATCCTTTTTTGTGGCCCCAGTGCTGAGAATGGGGTCTGGCATGATAATGTGCATTCAAAGGTGTCTGGAGCAAGTATCTATTTCTTACAGGTTGAGTATCCCACATCTGAAAATCCAAAATTCAAAATGCTCCAAAATTTACCAAAAGTTTTTGAGCGCATGATGCTCAAAGGTAATGCTCTTTGGAGCATTTCAATTTCAGATTTTCAGATTTGAGATGCTCAACTGATATTGCAAATATTACCAAAAAAACAATGAAATCCAAAACCAATCTGGTCCCAAACATTTCAGATGAGGGATACTCAACCTGTGTCAGCACCTCAGAGATACTGCTGAGTTAGTGGACTTGGAAAATGGCTTTAGGAATTTTTTTAACTATCTGTGAGCTGGGATCAGCCAGGTTTAACAGTCACTGCATTTTCTCTTATGGTTTGCACAGTTACCCTTCCATTTATTGCCCTTCTTTTAAGAATGAGAAACCAAGGTTTATAGACAGCCAATAAACCTGTCCCAAGAGAGCAGCTAGCAAGTGTCAGAACCAACATTCAAACTTGGCTCCATCTTCTTAAAAACCAATATATGTTCATTACTATTGTTATTATTAGTTGAGAACATATTGAGTGCATACTATGTTCTAGGAATTGTACTAAATATATTCTTTACCTGTATTAGCACACAACAACCTATTTAGGTAAGTTTTCTTTTTTGTCTGTATAGGGGCAACAACTGAGGCATCGAGAGGTAAATTAGCCTAGAGTCATACAGATAGCAAGTGGTAGTGCCAGGATGCAAACCAGGATTGAAGCCCTTGTGTGCTTTTGTTATTTAATCCGTATTGGCTGCAGGCTCTGGATCTGGATCTAGATTTGGGAGTTACCATTCTAGAGATGGTGGCTGCATTCTTGAAGAGAGAGTGTATTTAAAGCAGGTGAGAGGACCAAAGATTGAGCCATTAGTAACATCCATAGTGGAAAAGGAGGGAGTGTCAAGATTTAAAACAGTAGCCAGAGGACAAGACCAATTGGAGAATAAGAGTTGGCCTCGAAGAGTGCTGTGTGGTAGAAACAAGAAGTGAAATGCTTTTGGTACTGGTGAGCAAAGCTGAGCTCTCAGGGTACCCAAAATGTGAGAGCTCACAAAGTGAGCTCAGTAGAAGGACATGCATAGTACTTTCAAATCTGTACTATTTTGGCCTCCTTGACAGCATGCATTTAAATCGTTTGAATAAACAATGTAAAGACATTGCTCTGGCTGGCATGTGGTAAGGTCTGCTTGGAGTTGACCAGGGTGGATTGCCACAGCAGCCCAGAAGCAGTGGGCAAGGGCATGCATTCTTGAGTTGGTGGCCCAGTCAGCTCCACCGCTTTCTGGCTGTGTGACCTGAGACAAATTACATAACCTTTTGATGCCTAAATTTCTTTATTTTCAATATGGAAATAATAATTCTCTTGTTGAGTTTTTGTAAGGAATCACGAGGTAGTATTTGTAAAGCTCCTAGAACAGTGTTCAGCATGCTATAAGAGCCCAGTGTTAGCAGTTGTTACCAATATTACATGCTGGTGGCCTCACACCACACTTGTGGTGTGAGTATCAATCATCTTACCCATTTTGTGCTTGGTCCATTTGTTGCAACAGGACACTATGAATTGCTTTTCATGTTATTCATATTTATTTGTATTTTTTCATAGCTTAACATTGATGCCAAAAAGAAAATTAAAACCAAGCTCCCTGCAGGTTAATTTAAGTGATTATTTTGGCACATAGTTGTGCTTGAAGTTAGAATTCGATGTTTTTATATCATACTTGGAATCAGTCCACATACTCTAATAGACTTGTGATTTATTCTCTTCTAACTTTTGATGCAAGAGAGTTCACTTAAATCATGAGGCATAATTGTGTAGATTTGCAAAGATCTTGGGGGTGTTGTAGACAAGGAGGCCTGAAGACAGTGATGTTTTAAAATAAACTTTTGTCAGTGTTTACTGATGTATCTAGGATCGAGATTATCTTTCTGGAAATTTCATTTATGTATGTATAGTCTAGCATTCAATGGAGGGAAAACAATTATAACAGTGATTATGGATTTCTAAACTCTGACAGAATCTTCAGGGAGCATCTGATTTAACTCCATGGTGTAGTTGAGAAAAATGAGGCCCAGAGAGTAACTGGCTAGTCACAGAGCTAGATAGCTGGCAGAAGGCTGAAGATAGAACTTGGATCTCCTGCCTGCCAGTCCTAACTAGTCTAACACGTGCTTATGGTACAATATGTACTCTAATAGAAATGGGTGTGAAATCAAGAATGTAATGTGAATTGGTTTTACTTTTTGATTTTCTCTTAATATAAAATAAATTCTATAAAGAGATAAATTTTAAATGTTTTTTATTAATACTTCATTTTCACAAATGGCAAATGACTAGAGATCTAGTAGGAAATAGGATGAAAAGGACTCTTCTTTGGGTCTCTGTCTTTTTTAATAGTAAATACTTAAAGCTAAATTTTCATTTTCAGTAAAAGGTAAGAAATGGTACTTCTTGGTGGAGAAAGATGATGATTCATTCGTTCCCATTTTTATGTGTAGTTTAGGTTAATTAAGAACCTTTTGAAATAGGGTGTATTGAAACTTTAATGTATGGATAAGTTGGTTGAGCAGTTTTAATTAAAACTTATCTCTATTTTGAAGTTAATTACTTTCAATACTCTGAGATTAATGAGGCATAGTCATGGCACCTCCCATGTTGTGGGTACTCAATAAATATTAGTTTGGGAATTAGGACATACTTTGATGGTATTTTAGGGTCTTACATATATTATGTCATAGATTCTTTCCCAAATCTGGGAAATACTCAACGATATCAAATTTTACTGGTTCAACTTAAAATTTTTTCTTCCTATGTAATTTTTAAAACTTTCTATTTAAAAATAATTTCAAATTTATAAAAATAAAAATACACACCTTTATGTATGCATATATATGTATACACATGCACATAATTTTTTTCTGAATTATTTGAGCTTAACTTACATATACTATGCCCTCTTTCCTAAATACTTCAATTTGTATTTAAGAATAAAATATTATCTTATATAAACACATTATAGTTATTAAATTCATAAATGTACACTGATATCTTATTTACTCTTTCATCTATATTCTCATTTTGTCAGATGACCTAATAAAGCCCTTTCTAGCCTTTTTCCCCTCTAGCACAGGGTCCAGGGTCAGCTACTGCATTTAGTTGTCATGTTTGTTAGCCTCCTTTTGAATTGAGAATATTTCCACAGCCTTTTTTTGTCTCTTATGACATTGATGTGTTTAAAGAATACAACGTTCTTTGAGTTTGTCTGCTGTTTCCTTGTGATGAGGTTGAGGTTATGCATTCTCTGTCAGAATGCTGCATCAGTGACACTGTCAAGAGGCACTTGATGGCCATCTGACACTACTGGTGATCTTAATTTTGATCACTGTGTCAGGCTGTTGCCCAGTTTCCCCACTGCAGAGTTGAGGATTTTTTTCCTCTCTTGTAACTAATAAGCAATCTGTAGGAAAACAAAGGCAAAATTTTCCCTAGATTTGGCATCTGTTAATGATTCTTGCCTGACCTTTACCACAGTGGTTGCAAAGAAAGGATGTTCCTATTCTAACACCCCAACCACACTTACCAGTTAGTCTTTGGCTTTCTCCTGTGGGGAAGAGCTGGCCCGTCTGTTTTTTGTTTCGTTTTGTTTTATCCATTTGAGCACTACTTTACCTTCTGGTATAACAAAATATTTTGAGGTCATCTTGTACCTTTCTTGTCCAAACTATAGCATTAAGCACTTCTTGAGAAATCTAGTTCCATTTAGGGGGAATGATGGTAGAGACCAAGATTTGGGTGCTGAGTGTGCTCATTGCTACTGTGGTGTCTCCCTTTTGGCCCTTTTAGCAGACAGAGCTAGGAAATATATATGTGCATACACACACATACACACACACACACACACAGATACACATATTTTCGACATCATGAGTATACACCAATGCCTTCCATTTCAGTCCATCCTCACACAGTTCTTTTTTGTCTTCCTCCATTCCATTTTTGTGTGTCCCTCCTTCCATAGTGAGACACCTGTTCCCAGCAGCATCAACACATTTATTCATTTGCTCATTCCTCTAATACAATTCAAAATAGTTTCAGAGTTGCTTCACCTCTACTACTATGGTAAGCAAACCTTGTAAAAAGAGTTGGGAATTTGTTTGCAGTTCTCTCTTTCTGGCCTAAGACCATATATTATGGTCTTATGGACTTATATAAGTCATATATTGTCTTTGTAAGTTACTTGGGTTCTTTCTTTCTTCCTGTTCTTCTTCCTTTCCCTTCAATGTGGTTATGTTATTTATTTGGACTAAAATTACGCTCATTTATTTTAGTTTACCTTCAATTGTAGGTTTCTTCCCATTCCCATTCTTAGTATTTTAATTTTAATTTGTAAATATGTAGAATATTAACATGCTGTCAAAAATCAAAACTGTAAAAAGATACCCTCTTTGGCCAGGCACATTGGCGCATGCCTGTAATCCCCACACTTTGGGAGGCCGAGACGGGCAGATCACTTGAGGTCAGGAGTTCGAGACCAGCCTGGCCAACATGGTGAAACCGTGTCTTTACTAAAAATACAGAAATTAGCCAGGTATGGTGGCAGGCTCCTGTAATCCCAGCTACTTGGGAGGCTGAGGCAGGAGAATCGCTTGAACCCGGGAGGCAGAGGTTGCAGTGAGCTGAGATCACACCACTACATTCCAGCCTGGGTGACAGAGCAAGACTCCATCTCAAAAAATATATATATCCTCTTTAATGTTTTAATTTGATTCCCATCTTCCCTTTTATGAAGTAAGAGATTTATAACTAGCGAAAGGGCATTTATTGTAACTGTATTCAATTTTGTGGTTATTTAAAATCCTATCTATTGAGATTGTAAGGTAACTAAATTTTCGGAAACATACTTCAGGCTCAGTGATTTGTAACTTTGATTCCTGGAGATAGTAGATCTCGATTGTTTTTTCATTCTTATAACACACCAGAGAGTGACTGTCCAGTGTTTTCAGGAACTCTGCAGAACGGGAGTTCTGCAGTGGCCAGTGGAGGTGGGAGTGCAGGAGGGACGCAGGTGTGCTCCCCAGCCCATTTTGAGAACTCCTGCTGTGGGATTAAGGAGAACATTAGAACCTCCCAAATGTGCCTATACAAAAGGCCAGTGGCTGTGTGATAAGACACAGCAATTATATCAAGTAAGCAAACACAAAAAATTTTAGTTCCAGATTAATAGAAGCGAATATAAATACTACCTTAGTCCCATGGTTTGCAGCTTCCTTTATTTGTGGTTCAGCAAAGGTGCCTGTGTTGGAATTCTATAGTTTGATGATATTCTTGGCAGCATGTCTGAAAAGCCACACAACTAGATGATTTATGTCCATCCTGTATTCCCCATTTCTTTTTTTTTTTTTTTGAGATGGAGTCTTGCCCTGTCACCCAGGCTGGAGTGCAGTGGTGCGATCTCGGCTCACCTGCCACCTCCACCTCCCAGGTTCAAGCAATTCTCCTGCTTCAGCCTCCCGAGTAGCTGGGATTACAGTCACCTGCCACCACACCCGGCTAAATTTTTTTTTTGTATTTTTAGTAGGGTTTCACCATGTTGGCCAGGCTGGTCTCGAACTCCTGGTCTCAGGTGATCTGCCTGCCTCAGCCTCCCAGAGTGCTGGGATTACAGGTGTGAGGCACCGCGCCCAGCCTTGTGTTCCCCATTTCTAATACCATGTATACTGGGTTTATAAATCTTTAATCTAGGATGAAGCTGTGGCACACCAGCTGGTAAAGAGCTAAAGGTATCTAGGTGGAAAATGTCATGATATAGCCGTGTCTTTTCTCTTTGCCTCAGCCTTAATACAGATATTGGCAGCTGCTGCAGCTGAGCGAGATGTGGTTTATTTCACCTTTGGGGACTCAGAATTGATGAGAGACATTTACAGCATGCACATTTTCCTTACTGAAAGGAAACTCACTGTTGGTAAGTAGGAGATACTCTTGACACTTGGTATCTAGATGGATTGTACACCATTCAGTGGGAACACTTGCTAAATCTGGATGAATCACAGTGGGTACGAAGAAACAAAAGCATGGCTCTAAGCAGGAAGGACAAACCCTCAGAGGGGCAGCATTTGCAGAGTCTTTTTGTTCTGGCAGAGTTTCATCCACAGTCTTGATAGGGTATATCAGCTTACTAAAGTAAGGTCAAGAAGCTGAAGTTGGTGTTCATTTTTACTTTTCTGTCTATAAAAATCTAAAATGGGAAAGATGAATGAGGGTAAGTTCAGATCTGAGAAGCCCCACTGTCCTGTTTCTCAGACCTGCCAGCGCTCATCCAGTGTGCTTGCTACCTCAGGAGCAAAGTGTATAACGAGGGCTGCCATGACAGTGCATAACGAGGGTGCATGGACAGTGTACCATGGATAGCCTGTTGTTATCATGAGCAAAGAAGTTGTTTCTTTAAAGAGTGTTAAAAATCTTGTTTAATTTATGTTGGGAAAGCCTTTCAGGCATATGAAATTCATGCTGTATTTTCAAAAGCCAAGTCTGAGCATATGCCATTTAGATTAAGATAAAACTGGAGTGTTCTTTCTAAGGTTTTTTCAATTACATACTTTAATGTGCCTCTGGTCTGACCTTTTGCTCTCCAGGAGATGTGTATAAGCTGTTGCTACGATACTACAATGAAGAATGCAGAAACTGTTCCACCCCTGGACCAGACATCAAGCTTTATCCATTCATATACCATGCTGTCGAGTCCTGTGCAGAGACCGCTGACCATTCAGGGCAAAGGACAGGGACCTGAGGAGCCGAGCGAATAGCATCTCCTCCCACCTCCCACCAGAGACGTCCTGTTTGAGCTGTCAGGTGTAATATATGAATTGACTTAAGTTAATATAAATGTGTACATAATCCACATTTGTAGTCAAGGACGCAATCTCTTCCACACATGTGCAGTTGTCAGTTGGTACATCTAAACTCCCTCCATCCTGACTCACGTGGACTTAGATATGTTTTGTTTCTATTTTCTTCTATTTCAGTTTTTCATTCTTTGATGTTTATTTCTTTTGTCCATCAGATCTCTTGTGAAATCCCATGGAAGGTTGTGCTCAGCCTGTCGGGTCTCTTTCTTCCTGCCCATATATTATACCAGTTGCTTCTGCAGCCCGCAGATGCCAGCGATGCCAGGAAACAAGTTGAAATCCAGGAATCTCTTTAACTGATTTTGCTAAAAATCTCCCTGTGAGCCTTCCACTCAACTCTTAATATGCTTGCATTGTTTAAGTTTTTAAATTCTGAAAATTAATAATTAGGGTTTTTTTCATATGTGTTGCATAATGCAAACCTCCTAGGTTAAAATAGTTTCTTTATTTAAGATAGAATAATTTCCAGAAATTGTACTTTTGAGGTATCATTTTTATCTGTAATGGTTTGTCTGTCTTTTTTCCTCTGATCAGTATTTTTTTATACCAGTTTTGGAGACTGGCTGAGATGAAAGGAAATGTGGAATAAAAGGAGGTTTTCCTGATGTGGTGTAAAGAAAACAGATTCAAGAGAATTGAAGATTTTTTTTGTTTCTTGGTACTTTTTTCTTTTTAAATTAGGACTAATGTTTCTTTTGTGGTGCTTGAGGCATATTCATATAACCAAAGTTTGAGAACTGGGAACTTCATGCTGATTTGTACATATTGAAGTTTCTCTGGTATTCAAAGGTTATATAGTGAATGAATTTTCATTAATAAATCACTTTGTCAGAAACTCCCATATCATCTATATTTTATATATGTATATATAAACGTATGCTCTTTAAGTGTGTCTATATGTGAGCACATAAAATCTAAATAAAATTGGACTGGTGGGAAACAATTAGGTTTAGGCATTATTTGGGTTCTGTTTAACGTCCTTTATCACAATTATGCATTTTTAAATCTGGCGACAAACATAAATAATAATGTCTTTCAGAGGTTAAAGTGAAAGCCAAAGCCCATCCTGTGTTAACCGAAAGTGGAGTTTCATCACAGAAGCACTTACTACTCAGATTTCCAAAACAATCCTAAACCACCCTGTTGTTGTTCTGGTTTACCATCAGCTGTCAGGAAACGCTAGTGGCGGTCAAATCCTATTCGTAAGGCACTTCAGTGGATGGCCTGACCTCCTGCTACTGGCAGGAAAAAGACAGGGCCTTGGCTGGTGGCCATCACACTTTTTGTTTATGTAGAGATTGAGAGGATAGTGAGATTTGGCACCTGAAGGCAGCCACTTGTCACTGAAGTTTTTTACCACAATAACTAAGATTTTTAGTCATCTCTCAAATTTGGAAGAATCTGTCTTTAGTTCTGTTGATACTAAAATCTTTCCCATTCTTTGCTTTGGTTGCAGATTCATGGTTGTTTCATGTCCTCACTTTTTCTAGCTCCACACTCGTCTCCTCCTGTGCAGCCCAAGACTAAGTGACCCGTTCTTTAAAATGTTTCATGAATAGGGTAGGTTGGTTCTTATGGTAGAGAAATCATTAATCCAAGTAAGAAGTCACCCAGCTGGGTATTCCAAAACACAGAAAGTAAGACTCTTTTGTGGAGAGCTGTGTAAACAAATGGCCTAACTCCTAACATAAATGTAAGATGGGCCAGCTAAATGCCCTTTGATGACTTAATGTAGGAGCTAAGAGCCAGTCAGTGACTGCCATCCCCATTCCACTGGGGCCTAGACTCTAGGAAAGTAGCACTAGAGGTTACAAAGTTATATTCTAATGGAAATGTTACATTTCCCTGTAGTGAATCCATACAAGTAGGGCAAAAGGTGAAGTTTCTTTTATTGTAGCTGGAATTATATTACCTCAATCCAAATAGTATAATTTCATCCATAAAAGACAAAATTAGCTTAACAAGTGAACTTTACTTGGTTATCAAAGTATTTTAAAATATGGAGACCTTGGGGATAAATTAATACAGGAGGTTCTTGGTGGTAAAAGGTGGAGACCATCATTGTGGAATCTTGTATTTTCTATTAAGGTTTGTAATAGTCCTACAAACTTGAACATAAATTTTTAATATTTGGGAAGGAACATTCACTGAAGAATTGATAATAGACTAAAAAATATAGCTGTTATCAATTAATACATGATCTGTCCTTGAACACATATTCACCATTATGTAAACCTCACATTATTTCAGCTTATTTATTCCACAGATACCAATAGACATGTTTTCACATTGTAGCATCTCCCAAATCAAAATACTTCTAAAAATTGGTAGTATGTCGGCCGGGCGCAGTGGCTCACGCCTGTAATCCCAGCACTTTGGGAGGCCAAGGTGGGTGGATCACCTGAGGCCAGGAGTTCGAGACTAGCCCGGCTAACATGGTGAAACCCCATCTCTACTAAAAATAAAAAATTAGCTGGGCATAGTGGCAGGCATCTGTAATCCCAGCTACTTGGGAGGCTGAGGCAGGAGAGTCGCTTGAACCCAGGAGGTGGAGTTTGCAGTGAGCCGAGATCATGCCAGTGCATTCCAGCCTGGGTGACAAGAGCAAAACTCCATCTCAAAAAAAAAAAAAAAAGAAAAGAAAAGAAAAGAAAACTGGTAGTATGTGTCACAATTTGCAGAAATTTTTCCTATTGGTACATAAAATTAAGACACATTTTACAATCTATGGCATCTTGTATTTGACAAAACGTGGTAATTTGAGTAACAACTATATGCCAGTCACTTTAAAGTTTTGGAGCTTATAATTGTGACCAAGATAGACTGAATCCCTGTTAACGAGTTTATACTCTACCAGGGAACATAGACAATAGCTACAGATAAATCATGATTATTGTAAGATTCTGTAATATTAGAGTGGGGTAGTCAGGAAATTTTTTTTAAAGGAGCATTTCGGACATATACAAAAATAAAATAGGGTAATATACCTGTCACTTATCTTCAATATTT
The DNA here is from genome assembly GCF_000001405.40 of Homo sapiens. Classification (NCBI taxonomy): domain Eukaryota; kingdom Metazoa; phylum Chordata; class Mammalia; order Primates; family Hominidae; genus Homo; species Homo sapiens. The sequence goes on along the minus strand of NC_000010.11, from coordinate 49,816,212 downwards.
ATCCGTTCATGGCTAATCTCACTTCCACCTATATTCCTACCCATTTACCCATGCCAAATTATTACAAAGTTCATCCCAGACATTATATTTTATCTGTAAATCAGTATGTCTTAAAAAGATGACCACAGGATCATCACACACACACATCAAAATAATCGGAAAAGGACTTCTGATTCCAAAAGATGGAATAAACATACTTTTCTCTATTCTTTCTTCTAAACTCATTTAAAAAACCCTGAACATTATATATAAAACAAACAAGAACACTTTGAAAGTTGGAAAAAAGAAGGCAGAATTGCTAGAGACCTTGGGAATCAAGGAATAAAATAGTGGTGAGTTCCCTGGATTTTCTTACTGCCTTGTATATCCCATACTTAATACCAGTTACTGGAGAACCCAACAACCTGGAATGGCTGTATGTAGACAGAGGCTCAAGAAGAGCCCATTCTCTGTAGCTAAAGGACCAGGAAAGTGCAACCAAAAGCAATGACACATTGTCTACAAGACAAACACAAAAAAGGAAAACTAACAGAATTAGTTGCCAGCAGACCTGCCCTGATAAAATGGCTAAAGGAAGTTTTTTTTGTTTTTGTTTTTGTTTTTTTTAAACAGTGCAAAGGTCTTTTGTTGTTGTTGTTGTTACACACCTATTATGGCATGAATTAGTAGAGAACAGGTTCTGGCAGCTCAGGCTCCTTCCCATTGGTTCTCAGAAAGTGTGCTTCTCTGAGAAGAACAGGCTGGCGCCTCAGTTAAGCCCAGGTACCTTTCTCTTTGGCTTCCTTTTTTTCTGGTCATTTTCCTTCACACTTCTCAAGACGCTATCTCAACCTTTAGAGTCCTTACTACACTCAGTATGCACATTAATCTCTTGACAAGAGTATTCCCCTTAATTTGTTTACAACAATGCCAATAGCATGGTGGGTAACATTGTGGACTCCCAGTTTTGCCATGGGAACATTTGTGGGTATTCCTTTTCAAACAGTTCCCATACTGATGTCTATGGTATGACTTTTCTTGTTAGATTCGTGTGTATGTGGCCAAAGGAACAACTGCATGTTATAAAAGGTCCAGAGAACATATATCAGGTGCCTCTCCTCCTTTTTGTGTTTGTCATTTTGGTGAATTATTAGAAAATTGTGGTTCTGGCTGAAATGCTAAAGAAGTTCTTGAAACAGAAAGGAAACCATCAATGAAGGAATCTTGGAAGATCAGGGAGGAAGAGTAGAAACAGTAAAAGTATGGGTAAATACAATACACCTCTGTGGGTTTCGAAATTACATTTTTTGAAGCAAAATATAATTATGTCTATTGGGGTTTTCACTGTATGCAGAGAAAATAATTGTTATAAATGTGGGAAAGAAAAGGGGCATAGAGGTAAGGTTTCGGCTCACACAAACAATTAAAATGTTGATGCCAGTAGACTATGAAAAGCTATACATAATACAATGTAGTAGCTAGAGCAACCACTAGAAAGGCTATGAAAAGAGATATACTCAAAAACCCTACAGATAAGCCAAAATGGAATTAAAAAAAAAAAAAAGTTCAATTAACCCACAGGAAGAAAAAAAGAGAACAACCGGGAAAAAAAAATGTCAGAAAAACCAAAAGCTTATTCTTTGAGAAGATCAATAAAATCAGTAAGTCTGTAACCAGACTAAAAAAAAAAAGTAAAGATATATAATTATTAATATAAAAAATGGCCAGTCTCAGTGGCTCATGCCTGTAATCCCAGCACTTTGGGAGGCCGAGGTGGGCGAATCATGAGGTCAGGAGATTGAGACCATCGTGGCCAACGTGGTGAAACCAAGTCTCTACTAAAAATATAAAAATTAGCTGGGCATAGTGGCACGTGCCTATAGTCCCAGCTACTTGGAAGGCTGAGGCAGGAGAATCACTTCCGGGAGGTGGGGGTTGCAGAGAGCCAAGACTGCACCACTGCACCTCAGCCTGGTGACAGAGTGAGAATTCTTCTCAAAAAAAATAATAATAGTAAATGAAAGAGAGGGCATGACTACATATCCCATGACATTAAAAGTATAATAAAGGAATATTATGAACAACTGTGTTCACAAATTTAATAAGCTAGAAGAAATGGACCAATTCCTTGAAAAACACATCTGCTTTAAATCACATAAGAAGAAATAGAGAATCTATTTTATGGCTACACTATGACTAGACCTATGATTTTTAAAGATAATGAATCAATAATTAATGACCTTGAAACAGCATTTGACCCAGATTTCTGGTGAATCCTACCAAACATTTAAGAAAGAATTTATACCAATTTTCTATGTTATTCAGAAGATAGAAGCAGAGAGAATCCTTCTTAATCTCTGAGGTCAGCATTACCCTAATACTGAAACCAGACAAAGACATTACAGGAAAAGGAAACTACAGGCTAATATTTCCTATGAGCATAGATGTAAAAATCCCATACAGAATATTAACAAATTGAATCCAGAAGTGTATTAAGATAATTATACACGCAACCAAGTGGGATTTATACTAGGTATGTAAGGCTGGTTCAACATTCAAAAGTCAATTAATGTAATCCATTACATCAACAGGTTAAAGAAGAAAAATAATGTGATCATATTAATAGATGTAGAAAAAGCATTTGACAAAATGCAACACACATTCATGATTTAAAAAAAAAAACCCTTTGGCAAACTAGGAATAGAAAGAAAACTTTGAATGTTAGGAAGATATCTTTGGGGGGAAAAAAGAAAGAAAACTTCCTAAACTTTATCACGAACATTTAGAAAAAGCCTACAGGTAACATCATACTTAACGGTGAGAAACGTGAAGCTTTCCTGCTAAGATCAGGAATGAGGCAAGGATATCCCATATCACCACTGTTTTTTAACATCATACTGGAAATCCTAGCTAGTGCAATACAACAATAAAGGGAAATACTTTGTTCACAGATGACATGTAGAATTGACAAATAAGAAACTGATAAACAATTGCAGCAGGGTTGCAGAATACAATGGTTTTTGGGTTTGTTTTGTTTTGTTTGAGATGGAGTTCCACTCTGTCACCCAGGCTGGAGTGCAGTGGCACAATCTCAGTTCATTGCAACTTCCACCTTAGGGGCTCAAGGGATCTTCCCACCTCAGCCTGCCAGGTAGCTGGGACTACAGGCATGCACCACCACACCCGGTTAATTTTTTGTGTTCTTAGTAGAGACAGGGTTTTGCCGTGTTGGCCAGGATGGTGTCGACTCCTGGACTCAAGTGATCCACCTGCCTTGGCCTCCCAAAGTGCGGGGATTACAAGTGTGAGCCACCACGCCTGCCCAGGATATAATATAATGTACAAAAGTCTATTGCTTTTCTATACACCAGCAATTAAGTGGAATTTGAAATTCAAAGCACATTACCATTTACATTACCCCCTGCCAAAATAAAATACTTAGGTGTAAATCTAACAAAATATGTATAAGATGTATATGAAGAAAACTACTTAACTTCAATGAAAGATATCAAAGAACTAAACCATGTTCATGGACAAGAAGACTCAATATTGTCAAGATGTCAGTTTTTTCCTACTTAATCTATAGATTCAACACATTCCCAATTAAAATCTCAGCAAATTATTTCATGGATATTGATGAACTAAGTCTAAACTTTATATGGAGAGACAAAAGACCCAGAATAGCCAACTCAGTATTGAAGGAGAACAAAGTTGGAAGACTTTGGCATGACGTCAAAACTTACTAAACAACTGGGTCTAAAATGATGATAAATAAAGCTACAGTAATTCATACTGGCAAAAATAAATAGACCAATGGAATAGAATAGAGGCCCAGAAATAGACCCACATGAATACAGTCAACTCATTTTTTGACAAAGGAGGAAATGCCATACAATGAAGCAAAGACAGTGTTTTCAACAAATGATGCTGGAACAACTGGATATCTCATGTTAAAAAATAAATGTAGATATAGACCTTACACTCATCACAAAAATTCACTGAAAATTGATCATAGACCTAGATGTACAATGCAAAACTGTAAAATCCCTAGAAGACAACATAGGAGAAAACCCGGTTGACTTTTTAGATGCAACACCAAAGGCACACTACATAAAGGAAATAATTGATAAACTGGACTTCATTAAAATTCAAAACTTCTCTCCAAAAGACACAGTTAAGGGAATGAAAAGACAAGTCATAGGCTGGGAGGAAATATTTGCAAAAGATAGATCTAATAATGAACTGTTCTCCAAAATATACAGAAAGGACTCAAAGCTTAACAATAAGAGAAAGAACACCTAATTAAAAATGAACAAAACGGCCGGGCACGGTGGCTCACGCCTGTAATCCCAGCACTTTGGGAGGCTGAGGTGGGCGGATCATGAGGTCAGGAGATTGAGACCATCCTGGCTAACATGGTGAAACCCCGTCTCTACTAAAAATACAAAAAATTAGCCAGGCATGGTGGCAGGCACCTGTAGTCCCAGCTACTTGGGAGGCTGAGGCAGGAGAATGGCGTGAACCCAGGAGGCGGAGCTTGCAGTGAGCCATGATCGCACCACTGCACTCCAGCTTAGGCGACAGAGCGAGACTCCATCTCCAAAAAAAAAAAAAAAAAAAAAAAAAAAAGAACAAAATACCGAACAGACATCTCACCAAAAATGATACACAAATCACAAGTAAACATATGAAAAGATATTCAACAATAATGTGTTATTAGGAAACTGCAAATTAAAACAACAAGATGCCACTACATACCTATTAGAATGGCCGAAATCAAAAGCACTGACAACACTAAATGCTGGCAAGCATGTGGAGTAACAAGAACTCTCATTTATTGCTGGTAAAAATGCAAAATTTTATAGCCATTTTGGAAAACAGTTTGACACTTTCTTACAAAACTAAACATAATCTTACCATATGATGCAGCACTCATACTCTTTAGTATTTATCCAAATGAATTGAAAACTTCACACAAAAACCTATACATAGATGTTTATAGCAGCTTTGTTAATCATTTCCAAAATTTGGAAGCAACCAACATGTTCTTCAGTAGATGAATGGATAAAGAAACTATGGTATATCCTGGCTGGGCACAGTGGCTCATGCCTATAATCCCAGTACTTTGGAAGGCCAAGGTGGGCAGATCACCTGAGGTCAGGAGTTCAAGACCAGCCTGACCAACATGGAGAAACCCCATCTCTACTAAAAATACAAAATTAGCTGGGCGTGGTGGCGCATTCCTATAATCCCAGCTACTCAGGAGGCTGAGGCAGGAGAATCACTTGAGCCCAGGAGGCGGAGGTTGTGGTGTGCTGAGATCGCGCCACTGCACTCCAGCCTGGGCAACAAGAGCAAAACTCCATCTCAAAAACAAACAAACAAAAAACTATGGTACATCCAAACAATGGAACATTATTCAGTACTAAAAAGAAGCGAGCTATCAAGCCATGAAAAGACACAAAGGAAATTTAAATAGTGATAGAAGCCAATCTGAAAAGGTTACATACTGTATAGTTCAACTATATGACAGAGTGGAAGAGACAAAATTATGAAGATAGTAAAATATCAGTGGTTGCCAGTGCTTGTGGGGAGGGAGAGATGAATAGGTGGAGCACAGAAGATTTTTAGGGCAATGAAGCTGTCCTGTATGATACTACAATGGTGGGGATACATGTCATTATATTTATAAAAACCCATAGAATATACAACACCAAAAGTGAACTCTAATGTAAACTATGAACTTCAGGTGATGACGTGTAAATGTAGGTTCATTGATTGTAAAAAAAAAAAAAAAAAAAAAGTACCAATGCAGCACAGGATATTGATAGGTTGTGTATGTGCAGAAACGAGATGTATGGAAACTGTAATTTCTGCTCACTTTTGCTGTAAACCTGAAACTATAAAATGTGAAGTTTATTAATTTAAAAAGTGGAAGACTGTAAGCCCTAATACAGTAGTAGTTACATGAACTCTAAGGACATTAGATATAAAAGACAGATTGGTAGAGCTTATAAAAACGAATGCAATTATATGAACTATATGGTGTCTAACAAACTTACTTCCAGTATAGTAATATGGGTAGATTCAAAGTGAATGAGTGGAATAAAATGTATACCTTGCAAACATTAATCAAAAGAAAACAGCAGTGCCTGTACAATATGAAGTAAAGCAGACCTTAGAGCAAAAAAAAGTTGTCAGGGAATGAGATATATTACATGATTAAAGGGTCAAGCCACTGAGAAGACAACAATTCTAAATGTTTATGCACAAAATAACAGGGTTGTAAAACATGTGAAGCAAAAGCCAATAGAAATAAAAGATGAAATAGACTCATCTACAATTATAGTTGGTGATTTTAACGTCCCTCCCTTAATAATTGACAGAACAACTTGACAGAAAATCAGCAAAAATACAGAGGAACGCAACACCACCATAAATCAACAGGGTCTAAACGGCGATTATGGAACACTCTATCTCAAAACAGCAGAATGCACATCCTTTTCAAGTGCTCGTGGAACATATGCCAAGATAGACTATATCCTGGGCCATGAAACAGATTTTTAAAAGTTGAAATCATATAAATGTGTTCTCTGGCACAGTGGATCAACTAGAAATCAATAACAGAAAGATAAAAGAAAAATCTCTAAAGACTTGGAAAGTAAACGGCATACTTTAAAATAATAAATGCATAAAAGAGGAAGTCTCAAGGGAAAATTCTGAAATATATGTTGAACTGAGTGAAAATGAAAACATATCAAAATGTGTGGGATGCAGTTAAAGCAGTGCTGAATGGGAAAGTTATAGTAGTAAGTGCATACACAAAGAGGAAAACTCGCAAATCGGTAACCTAAGCTCCCACCTCAAGAAACTGGTAAAAAGAGTAAAAGAAGCCCAAAGTGAGCATAATTCAACAAAATAAAGAGCAGAAATCAATGAAAATGAAAAACAAACATCAAGAGAGACTCAATGAAACAAAAAGCTAGTTCTTTGAAATAATCAACAAAATATAAAACAAACCTCTCACAAGACCGAAAGAAAAAAATAAGACCCAAATTACTAGTATCAGGAATAAAACAAGGGATATTATTATAGACCTTCCAAATCTCAAAAGGGATAATAAAGGAATGCTCAAACAACTCTACAGATATTTTTTTACAGCTTAGATGAAATGGACCAAAAATTCCAAAAGTTTTACAAATTACTACAGCTGATTGAATACATTTGCCCTAAAAATCCTCTGTGCTCCATCTGTTCATTCCTCCCTCCCCGCAAGCACTGGCAACTACTGATATTTTACTATCTTAATAATTTTGTCTCTTCCACAATGTCATATAGTTGGAATTACATAGTGTGTTAGTGTGTAGCCTTTTCAGATTGGCTTCTTTTTTTTTTTTTTTTTTTTTGAGACTGAATTTCGCTCTGTCGCCCAGGCTGGAATGCAGTGGTGCCATCTTGGCTCACTGCAACATCTGCCTCCCAGGTTCAAATGATTCTCCTGCCTCAGCCTCCTGAGTAGCTGGGACTACAGGCACACACCACCACGCCTAGCTAATTTTTGTATTTTAAGTAGGGACGGGGTTTCACCATGTTGGCCAGCTGATCTTGAACTCCTGATCTCAAGTGATCTGCTCACCTCAGTCTCCCAAATTGCTGGGATTACAGGCATGACTCACCGCCCCCAGCCCAGACTGGCTTCTTTCACATAGTTAAATTCATTTAAATTTCCTCCATGTCTTTTCATGGCTTGATAGCTCACTTCTTTTTAGTACTGAATAATGTTCCATTGTTTGATGTGACACAGTTTCTTCATCCATTCACCTACTGAAGAACATCTTGGTTGCTTCCAAATTTTGGCAATGACTAATAAAGCTGCTATAAACATCTACATGCAGGTTTTTGTGAATAAAGCTTTCAATTCATTTGGATAAATATTAAGGAGTGTGAATGCTAGGTCATATGGTTAAGAGTATGTTTAATTTTGTAAATTTATCATTTGAATAGCCATATAGCTAGTAAGGAAATTGAATTTCTAATTTTACAACTCACAATAAGCAAACTTCAGGCCCAGTCTGTTTCACTGGAGAATTCTAGCAAATGTTTAAGGAATAATTAATACCATGTCTATACAATCTTTCTCAGAAAACAGAAGAGGAGAAAAAAACTTCCCAATTCCTTTTAATACCAAAACCAGACAAAGTAAATAAACAAAACTACAGACCAATATCCTGTAGAAATATAGATGCAAAACTGCCTAAAAATATCTTAGCAAATAGCAAATAGAATTGAGCAATAGGGTGGGATTTATCCCAGGTATGCAAGGTTAATTCAATATTTTTGGTTTTTTGAGATTGTTTTCAGACAGGGTCTCACCCTTCATTCAGGCTGGAGTGAAATGGTGCCACCACAAGTCACTGATCCTTTCACCTCAGCCTCCCAAGTAGCTGGGACCACAGGCATGTGCTGCCATGCCTAGCTTTTTTTTTTTTTTTTAATTTTTATAGAGACAGGATCTTGCTATGTTGCCAGGGCTGGTCATGAACTCCCAGGCTCAAGTGATCCTCCCACCTCAGCCTCCCAAAGTGCTGGATTACAGGTATGAGCCACCGTGCCCAGCTGGCTCAATATTTGAAAACGTAATCTATCACATCAAGAAGCCAAAGAAGAAAAGTCATATGATCAATCAATAGATGTAGAAAAAAGCATCCAACAAAATTCAAGATTCATTCAGGTTAATAGACTCTCAACAACCTAGGCATGAGGAGGAACTTCCTCAGCTTGATTTTTTTAAAAGGAGCTATAAAAATCTATAGCTAACATCATACTCAATGTTGAAAAGTTAGATTTCTCACATTTAAGATCAAGAACAAGGCAAGGCTCTCTCTTCTCACCACTACTTTCCCACATTCTACTAGAAATCCTAGCCAATGCAATAGGACAATAAAAGAAAATTTTAAAAAGTCACACAGACTAGGAAGGAAGAAATAAAACAGCTTTTATTCCCAGTGGCATGCTTATCTAGAAAATCCTAAAGAAAAGACAAAGAAAACAAACAAACTATTATGGTAAGGTTTCAGGTTACAAGTTTAGTATAAAAAGTTAATTGCTTTGCTGTATGCTAGCAATGAACAGTTAGAATTTGAAATTAAAAACCATAAAATTTACATTAGCACAAAAAATGAAATACTTATGCATAAAGCTCGCAAATATGTGCAAGATCTATATGAAGAAAGCTACCAAATTCAGATGAAAGAAATAAAAAATGGAGAAATACCAGTCCGGGCCCAGTGGCTCACACCTGTAATCCCAGCACTTTGGGAGGCCAAGGTGGGTGGATCACAAGGTCGGGAGATCGAGACCAGCATGACAAACATGGTGAAACCCTGTCTCTACCAAAAATACAAAAATCAGCCAGGCGTGGTGGTACATGCCTGTAATCCCAGTTACTCAGGAGGCTGAGGCAGGAGAATCACTTGAACCCGGGTTTGGAGGTTGCAGTGAGCTGAGATTGCGCCACTGCACTCCAGCCTGGGCGACAGAGTGAGACTCCATCTCAAATAAATAAATAAATAAATGGAGAGATATTCCATGTTCATTGATCAGAAGACTCAACATTGTTACCAAGGCTCAATTTGATCAATGGATTCAACATAGTCTCAGTCAAAATCCAGCAAGTTATTTTTGTATATTGACAAAGTGGTTCTAAAGTTTATATGGAACAGTAAGACTCAAAACAGCCAACACAATACTGAAAAGGAACATCGGTAGACTTGATCTCGGCTCACTGCAGCCTCCACCTCTGGGTTCAAGCGATTCTCCTGCCTCAGTTTCCTGAGTAACTGGGATTACAGGCACCCGCCAGCACACCTAGCTAACTTTTGTATTTTTAGTAGAGACGGGGCTTCACCATGTTTGCCAGGCTGGTCACGAACTGCTGACCTCAGGTGATCCACCCGCACTGGCCTCCCAAAGTGCTGGGATTACAGGTGTGAGATGCTGCGCCTGGCCGAAATGATACTGTTTTTAACCAACATCCAAACTGGACATTCATGTGCAAAAAGAATCTAGGCACTGACCTTATACCTTTACAAAAATTAATTAAACTAAAAAACGGATCATGGACCTAAATATGAAACACAATACTATAAAATTTCTTAAAGATACTAAAGGCCAAAATCTAGGTGACCTAGGTTCGGTGATGAATTTGTAGATATAACATCAAAAGCACAAACCATGCCAAAAAAAAAAACAAAAACAAAAAAACAGACAATGCCAGGTGCAGTGGCTCACACCTGTATTCTCAGCACTTTGGGAGGCTGAGGCAGGCAGATCACTTGCACTCAGGAGTCCGAGACCAGCCTAAGCAACATGGTGAAACCCCATCTCTACAAAAAATAGAAAAATTAGATGGGTGTGGTGGCACGTGCCTGCAGTCCCAGCTACTCTGATAATATGTATCCAGCTGGGCACAGTGGCTCAGGCCTGTAATCCTAACACTTTGAGAGGTCAAGGTGGTGGATTGCCTGAGCTCAGGAGTTCAAGACCAGCCTGGTCAACATGGCAAAACCCTGTCTCTATTAAATTAGAAAAATTTGGCCAGGCATGGTGGCACTCACCTGTAGTCCCAGCTACTTGGCAGGCTGAGGCAGGAGAATTGCTTCAACCTGGGAGATGGAGGTTGCAGTGAGTGGAGATTGAGCCACTGCACTCCAGCCTGGGTGACAGAGAAGACTCTGTCTAAAAAAAATAAATAAATAGATAAAAAGAATATATATCCAAAGTGTAGAAAAAAACTCTTAAAACTCAACAATAAGAAAACAACCCTACTAAAAAGTAGGCAGAGGCTGGGCGTGGTGGCTTATGCCTATAGTCCCAGCACTTTGGGAGGCTGAGGCAGATGGATCATAAGGTCAGAAGTTCGAGACCAGCCTGACCAACATGGTGAAACCCCATCTCTACTAAAAATACAAAAATTAGCTGGGCGTGATGGTGCGCACTTGTAATCGTAGCTACTTGGGAGGCTGAGGCAGGAGAATCGCTTGAACCTGGGAGGCAGAGGTTGCAGTGAGCTGAGATCGCACCATTGCATTCCAGCCTGGGTGACAAAGTGAGACTCTGTCTGAAAAAAGAAAAAAAAAGTAGGCAGAAGATCTGAACAGACACCTCACCAAAGAAGATATATAGATGGCAAGTAAGCATATGAAAAGATGCCCAACATCCTAGGTCACTAGTGTACCACAAATTAAAACTACAAAGAGATAACACTACACAGCTATTAGAATAGCTAAAACCCCAAACACTGACAATACTAAACACTGATCAGAAGTGGAGGTACAGGAACTCTCATTTATTGCTGGTGGGAATGTAAAAGGTACAGCCACTTTTGAAGACAGCTTCTTAACAAATGTAAACATAGTCTTACCATATGAACCAGCAGCCGACCTCCCAGGTTTTTACCCAAGTGAACTGAAAATATATCCACAGAATATCCTCACATGAATGTTTACAGCAGTTTTATTTCTCATTGCTGAAATATAGAAACAACAAAGATGTCTTCAGTAGGTGAATGCACTATGGACCACTCCATGCAGACTATGGAATATTATTCAGTGCTAAACAGAAATGAGCTGTCAAAACACTAGAAAACACGGAAGAACCTTAAATGCATATTGCCAAGTGAAGGAAGCTGGTCTGAAAAGGCTACATACTGTATCATTCAAATTATGACTTCTGGAAAAGGTGAAACTACAGAGATAGTATAAATATCAGTGGTTTCCAGGGGTTCAAGGTGAGTAGACAGGTGAGGGGAGGGGTGAAAAATGGGGCACAGGATTTTTAGGACGATGAGACTATTTTGTACGACAGTGTAATGGTGGATACATGACATATGCATTTGTCAAAACCCATAGAATTGTACAACACAAAGTGTGAACCCTCATGTAATGGACTTGAGTTAATAATAATGTATCGATATAGCCCCATCAGTTACAAATATATCACAGCAATGCAAGATGTTGAAACAGGGAAACCAGGCTGGCATGTGGTGACTCATGCCTGTAATCCCAGCAGTTTGGGAGGCTGAGGTGGGAGGATCCCTTAAGGCCTGGATTTTGAGACCAGCCTGGACAACACATAAAACCTTGTCTCTGCAAAAAATATTGTTAAAATAAGTAGAAAATTAGCAGGGCATAGTAGCCCACACCCTGTAGTCCCAGCTACTCAGGAGGCTTAGGTGGGAGGATTGTTTGAGCCCAGAAGTTGGAGGTTACAGTGAGCTATGATGGCGCCGCTGCACTCCAGCCTAGATGAAAGAGCAAGACCTTATCTCTTTCTCTCTCTCTAAAAAAAAACTAAGCCTAAATTCAATACACGTTTGCACTATATATTGAGGTTTTAGAGTTTACCAGGCCTTAGGGCTGTGAAAGGGCTCAGAAAATTCTGCTTTTAAGCAGTAAAATGGAGCAAATACTAAACCAAAAACGACAAAAAAAAAACAACAACTATATCCTGGATATAATATACTTTTATGGCTTTTTTTGTTGGGGGGCGGGGGACAGAGTCTCACTCTGTTACCCAGGCTGGAGTGCAGTGGCGCAATCTTGGCTCACATCAGTCTCCACCTCCCAGGTTCGAGCGAGTCTCCTGCCTCAGCCTCCCGAGTAGCTGGGAGTGCCATCACACCGGGCTAATTTTTGTATTTTTAGTAGAGACAGGGTTTCACCATGTTGGCCAGGCTGGTCTCAAACTTCTGACCTCAAGTGCCCACCTCAGCCTCCCAAAGTGCTGAGACTACAGGCACCCAGCTGACTTCTTTATACAAATTGATGAAATACTTCTAAAATTCACATGGAATTTCAAGGGAGCCAGAAGAGTCAAAACAATCCTGAAAATAAAGAATAAAGTGGCCAGGTGCAGTGGCTCACACCTGTAACCCTAACACTTTGGGAGGCCGAGGCAGGTGGATCACGTGAGGTCAGGAGTTCCAGATCAGCCTGACCCATATGGTGAAACCCCGTCTCTACTAAAAATACAAAAATTAGCTGGGCGTGGTGGCACATGCCTGTAATCCCAGCTACTTGGGAGGCTGAGACAGGAGAATTGCTTGTACCCATGAGGTGGAGGTTGCAGTGATTCGAGATCGCGCCACTGTACTCCAGCCTGGGCGACAGAGCAGACTCTGCCTCAAAAAAAAAAAAAAAAAAAAAGAATAAAGTAGAAAGACTCACATTTATCTATTGCAAAACTTGCTGGCACCAGGAGAGACATATGGATTAATGGGATAGTTTAAGAATCTGGAAATAAATGTATGATTATGCAAGGGTGTTAACACCATCCAATGAGGAAAGAATAGTCTTTTCAACAATGGTGATGGGTCAGCTGGATAGCCTACATACGAAAGAGTTGAGTTGGAACCCTTACCTCATACCACATGTAAACAAACTCAAAATGGGTCAAAAACACATTACATTTTAAATGTAAGAGCGGAAGCTATAAAACTCATAGAAGAAAACATAGGTATAAACCTTGATGGCCTTTCAGTTCCTCCAAAATTTAAACATTGAATTAATTTTATTTTTTTTGAGCCTGTTGCCCAGGCTGGAGTGCAATGGCTCAATTTTGGCTCACCACATCCTCTGCCTCCTGGGTTCAAGTGATTCTCCTGCCTCAGCCTCCCAAGTAGCTGGGATTACAAGCATGGGACACCAAGCCTGGCTAATTTTGTATTTTTAGTAGAGAAGAGGTTTTGCCATGTTGGCCAGTCTGGTCTTGAACTCCTGACCTCAGGTGATCTGCCCACCTTGGCCTTCCAAAGTGCTGGGATTACAGGCGCGAGCCACTGCACCTGGCCTGAATTAATTTTTTACTTAATTGGATTCAGCAATCCCACTTTTGAGTATATCCACAAAATAATTGAAAGCAGGGACTCAAACAGGTATTTGTACACAATGTTCATTGTAGCATTATTCACGATAGCCAGAAGTTGGAAGTTGGTGGGAAATGTCCAACAATAGATGAATAGATAAACAAAATGTGATCTATGCATACAATGGATTATTATATAGCTTTAAAAAGGAAGGAAATTTTGACACATGCTACAATATGGATAAATTTTGAAGACATTATGCCAAGTGGAATATAAGCCAGATAAAAAATGGACAAATATTACATGATTCCACTTATATGAGGTACCTACAGTAGTCAAATGCATAGAGACAGAAAGTAGAACACTGGTTACCAGGGACCAGGTGAAGAGTGAGGGGGATACAGGGAGTTATTGTTTAATGGGTACAGAGTTTCAGTTTGGGAAGATGAAAAAGTTTTAGAAATGGATGGTGGTGATGGTTGCACAGAACGATGTGAATGCATTTAATGCCACTGAGCCTAACTTGAAAATGTTAAAAAAGGTAAACTATATATATATCACGTATATATATATATAATATGTATGTGGTTGTATATATTTTACCACAATAAAAAATAAAATTAAAAAAAAACTTTGTGACCTTAAATGTGGCAAAATATTTTTAGATATGACACCAAAGGTACAAACAGCAGAAGAAAAAATAGATAAGCTGACTTAATCGAGATTTTAAACTTTTATGTTTCAAAGGACTCCATCAAGAAAGTGAAAAGATGGTTCACATAGTGGGAGAAAGCTTTTGCAAATCATATATCTAATGGGCCTTGTATCTAGACTATATAAAGAACTCTTACAATGCAATAATAAAAAAAATAAACCAATAAAAAAAGGGCAAAGGATCTGAATAGTCATTTCTCTAAAGAAGATACACAAATGGCATACAGCACATGAAACAATGCTCAGAATCATTAGTCATCAGGAAAATGCACATCAAGACCACAATTAGGTGCCACTTCACACCCACTAGGATGGCTAGAATCAAAAACTCAGATAACAACAGTTGCTGGTGAGAATGTGGAGAAATGGAAACCCCCAACACTGCTGGTGGGAACATAAAAATAGGCCAGCCACTCTGGAAAACAGTCTGGCAGTTACTCCACAGAAATTTACCACGTGATCCAGCAATTCCACTCTAGCTACATAGACAATAGAAAGAAAAGCCCATGTCCACACAGAAACTTGCACATGAATGTTTATAGGAGCATTATTGACAATAGTTGAAAGATAGAAACAACCCAAATGTATCAGCAGGTGAATGAGTCAATAAAATGTGGGATATTTATACAATAAAATGTTATTCTGCCATGAAGAGGAATGAAGTTCTGATACTTGCTATTACACGGATGAACCTTGTAAACATGATAAGCAAAAGAGGCTAAAATTAGCAGGGCGTGGTGGCGCACATCTGTAGTCCCAGCTACTCGGGAGGCTGAGGTGGGAGGATTGCTTGAACCGGGGAGGTTGAGCTGCAGTGAGCTAGGATCACTTCACTGCACTCCAGCATGGGCGACAGAGCAAGCCCCTGTCTAAAAAAAAAAAAAAGCCAAACACCGAAGACCACATCTTGTATGATTCCATTCATGGGAAAGTTCGGAATTGGCATATTCATAGAGAAGGAGAGTAGAATTGTTGTTGCTTAGGGTTGGGGGCAGGGATGAAGGGAAAACAGGGGTGATAGCCAAAGGATATGTATGATATGTATGGTGTTTCTTCTTGCAGTGACAAAAATATCCTAAAATGGACTGTGGTGATGGTTGCACTTATCAATAGACTAACGACCATTGAATTGTACACTTCATGTATGTGAATTAAATTTTGCAAAACAGTAAATCAGAACACTAAAGGGATGGGCCTTGAAAATTTATGGGTTGAGAAACTGATGCTCTTTTGGGGGAAAAAAAAAGTTTATGGGACTCATGGTGGCAGCCTTGAAAGGCATGGCTTCTTAGAAAGGAAGATTTTTTTTTTTTAGGAAGGAAATTCAATATTCTTTCATGATAAAAACTCTCAGCAAGCTACGGAAGGAAGCCCTTAGACTGATAAAGGGCATCTCTGAATAACTAGCAGCTTTTTCCTGATAGCCTCAAACTGGAAACAACCCAAATGTCCAACAGGAGAATAAATAAGCAATTTGTGGTATATTCAAACTACTCAGAACTAAAAAAGAATGAATTACTGATAAAATTACTAATAAAAACAATATGGATGAATCTCAAAAACATGCTAAGTGAAATAAGCTTATGCAAAAGAGTACACACCATACAGTTGCAGTTCATATGAAATTCTAGAACAGGCAGAAAAAAAAAAAACCCATGATGACATCAGAACGATGTTGTCTGTGAGTATGGGGTGGAAGATTTACTGAGGAACATAAGAAAACTATCTGGGGTTGATGATGATATCCTATATCTTGATAGGAGTTTGGGTTAAACAGAACTATGCAATTGTCAACATTTAGCAATACATACTGGATATTTGTGAATTTCATTGTATGTAGATTTTACATTTAAAAACTGCAAAGAAATATTGAGCTCTATTTAATGATAGATATGATAAAGTGTCTAAGGGGAAATGGACAGATGTGTACAATTTACTTTGAAATGTATCAACACAGTATGGATTAGTGCAGGGAGAGAGGGATAGTTTCAGCAACATGTGGGAAAGCAGTAATTATAAAATGCCAATTGTAGAATCTAAGTGATGAGTATATGAGTGCTTGCTGGAGAATTATTTTCTGTATATTTGAGCATCCTCACAAAAATGCTAGAAAAGGCCAGGCACGGTAGCTCATGCCTGTAATCCCAGCACTTTGGGAGGCCGAGGCAGGCGGATCATGAGGTCAGGAGTTCGAGACCAGCCCTGACCAACATGGTGAAACCCCATCTCTACTAAAATTATGAAAATTAGCTGGGCATGGTGGCACGTGCCTGTAATCCCAGCTACTCAGGAGGCTGAGGCAGGAGAATTGCTTGAACCCGGGAGGCGGAGGTTGCTGTGAGCCGAGATTGTGCCACTGCACTCCAGCCTGGGTGACAGAGCGAGACAAAAAAAGGTAGAAAAAGGAGAAAGAATGGTTCTTGAAACCTGAGTGGTGAAAGGGAAAGAACAAGAGAGGGATATAGACTATTGGAAGACAGAAGAGAGCCAAAAAGTTGAAGGACACATGAAATACTCCTTCATACACACACCCTTCCCTAAAGCCATCTATTAGGGAAAATGCAAGGACAGTCCGGCAGTGACAGAAGAGGGAGGAGGGATTTTGTAAACCACCCAGCCTCCCAATCCCATTCACGGAATGCATGCACACGGGCAGTTTCCATCCACACAACGCCACAAGAAGAAAACAAAAAGAATCAGAATATTTCAGCCCATGAAACTCTCCCTAAAACTATGGAGCAGAAGAAAACTATAACACAGCATTTCAATTTGTACCATAACTATAACAGGTTCACTGCCCAAAGTTCTGCCTTGCCCCTTGAAGTCAATCCCCTCCCTATGGTCTAGCCCCTCTATCAAACATTGATATGAGTTCAGTTCCTATAGTTTCGCTTTTTCCAGAATGTGATGGAGTCATTCATTCATCTTGAATGCATCATTTATCTTTTTATCTAACTTCTTTCACTTAGCACACATTTTTTGAGAGTGATCTATGTTGTAGCATATCAGTTATCAGTAACTCATTCCTATTACTGAGCAGTATTCCATTGTATAGAGGTACCATAATTTGTTTATTCATTCACCAGTTGATGGACACTGGGTTGTTTCCAGGTTTTCGTGGTTATGAATAAAGCCGCTAGAAACATTTGGGCTTTGTGTGGATATGTATTTTCACTTCCCTTGGGTAAAACCCCAAAAGTCGGATGGTTGGGTTGTATAGTCAACTTTAAAAGAAACTGCCAAAGTGCTTTCCAATGTGGCTGCACTATTTTGTCCTTTCGCCAGCAGTATATGAGAATGGTATTTGCCCTGAATACTCACCCACACTTGGTATCCTTGGGTTTCTTAATTAAATTAAATTTATTTATTTATTTATTTTTGAGACAGAGTCTAGCTCCATCGCCCAGGCTGGAGTGCAGTGAAGTGATCTCAGCTCACTGTGATCTCTGACTCCCAGGCTCAAGTGATCCTCCTGCCTCAGCCTCCTAAGTTGCTGAGACTACAGGAGTGTGCCTCCATGCACGGCTAACTCGAGTATGTTTTATAGAGATGGGATTTCACCATGTTGCCCAGGCTGGTCTCAAACTCCTGAGCTCAAGCATTCTGCCTACCTTGGCCTCCCAAAGTGCTCGGATTACAGGCATGAGCCACCATGCCCGGCCAGGTTTCTTAATTTTAGCTAAACTCACTGGAATTATTATTAAATTTTAAATATTCTTTATGTTTTCTGGATATAAATCCTTTATCAGATATGTGTTTGGCAAATATGTTATTCAGTCAGTGTCTTATTTTTTCATTTTCTTAACAGTGTCTTTCAACAGGCTTTTTAAAAGTAAGGTAAAGTAAAATTTATTTCAAAAATGTAATGGCCTGTGCCACCTGTGTCCTATCTAATACATTTTTGCCTGACCAAAGTTCACAGAGATTTTCCTCCTATATTTTCTTCTAAAAGTTTGGAGTTTTAGGTTTTAAATTTAAGTCTAAGATCCATTTCAAGTAAATTTTTGTATATGTGATAAAGTAGGGGTCAGGGTTCTTTTTTTTTTTGCATAAATGTTCATTTATTTCAGCATCACTTGTTGAAAAGACTTCTTTCCTCATTGAATTGCCTTGGGAACTTCATCAAAAATTAATGAAGGTGCTGGGCAGGGGGGCTCACGCCTGTAATCTCAGCACTTTGGGAGGCTGAGGCAGGTGGATCACGAGGTCAGGAGATGGAGACCATCCTGGCTAACATGGTGAAACTCCATCTCTACTAAAAAGACAAAAAAATTAGCTGGGTGTAGTGGCGGGCGCCTGTAGTCCCAGCTACTAGGGAGGCTGAGGCAGGAGAATGGCATGAACCCAGGAGGGGAGCTTGCAGTGAGCCGAGATCGCACCACTGCACTCCAGCCTGGGTGACAGAGCGAGACTCCGTCTCAAAAAAAAAAAAAAAAAAATTAATGAAGGTGTGTGAATCTATCTCCAGACTCCATAAACCAAAAATAAAATTCTAAGCCCCCTAACCATCTTAATGGACCCCTCTTCCAGGCCAAGGGTGTTCCAAAGTTAACCTGAAAAATTACTTCAGTCTGGGGGTGGTTCTTCGCACCTGTAATCCGAGCACTTTTGAAGGCCAAGGCAGGTGGATCACTTGAGCTCAGTTCAAGACCAGCCTGGGCAACATAGTAAAACCCCATCCCCACCAAAAATACAAAAAAATTAGCTGGGCATGATGGCTCACACCTGTGGTCCCAACTACTCGGGAGCCTGAGATGCGAGAATTGCTTGAACCTGGGAGGTGGAGGTTGCAGTGAGCCAAGATTGTGCCTCTGTACTCCAGCCTGGGCAACAGATGAGACCTTGTCTCAAAAAGACAAAACCAAACCAAAAAAACCTAGTTCAGGCCGTGATGGGAAGGGTAGCCAGACATGCCTCGTTTATACCCCCTCCCTTTTGGAATTACTGATAAACCTCTTTTAAGTCTGATAAGAAATATTTACAATCTGTTCTCTCTGAAACCTGCTACCTGGAGGCTTCATCTGCATGATAAAACCCCTTATCATAACCCAAACTTTCCTTTCCATTGATAATAACCCATTGCTAATCAGAAAAATTTTATTTTGTTTTATTTTATTTATTTTTGGGACGGAGTCTTGCTTTGTTGCCCAGACTGGAGTGCAGTGGCACGATCTCCACACAGTAGAACAGTGGTTGCTCACTGCAACCTCTGCCTCCTGGGTTCAAGCGATTCTCCAGCCTCAGCGTCCTGCGTAGCTGGGATTACAGGTGCGCACCACCACGCCCAGCTAATTTTTGTATTTTTAGTAGAGATGGGGTTTCACCATGTTGGCCAGGCTGGTCTTGAACTCCTGACCTCAAGTGATCTTCCTGCCTCAGCCTCCCGAAGTGCTGGTATTACAGGCATGAGCTATGGCACCTGGGTGCCAGTTAGAAAATTTTTAAGTCTACCTATGACCTGGAAGTCTTCCCACCACTCCCTGTTCAATGTAGATTGAACCAATGTAAATCTTACACGTATTTGAATGATGTCTCACGTCTCCCTAAAATGTATAAAACTAGGCTGCACGATGACCACCTTGGGCACATGTTCTCAGGATCTCCTCGGGCTGTCACTCATATTTGGCTCAGAACAAATCTCTTCAAATATTTTACAGGGTTTGGCTCTTTTTGTCAACAGTAATTTGGTGCCCAAACACGTGGGGCCTCAGAGAAGATTCATGACCCAGAAGGAGTTGCCTGTTCTTGGAGCTAAGGTACCAGCAGGGGCCCATTGAAACCTTCCCGACTTCGAGCTTCTCCTCCAGTGGAACTGGGAAGTCTTCACGAGTCCTGGACCTCCCTTTGGTTTATAAATGATCCTTGATTTATTTTGAGCTGGTTTTTTTTTTTTTTCCGCCTAGGAAATTGTTTAGGATCCTAATTCTAGTTCAGAGTTGCATTCTAAAGGGTCTTCTCCATTGCTTTTTCTCCCAAAATTAAGCTCAATTTTCTTGTCTGTGCATTTGCATGAGCAACTGAACTGCCCTTTTCATAGATAAATGAGAGTCTGAGCTCCTTAGCTCTGAAGAGAGAGGGGATTTTGCTCCTCTCAGCCTGAAGGTGACCCTAGATGACAAGGGGCTGGAGTGGGAGCCTCTAAGGGATTGACTCCTTGTAATATGCAGCGGCCCTGCAGCAGGGAATCCTCCAACAAAATTAGTTTCAAAAGCACACCCAGGAAATGCATATAAGAGCTGATAACTCTGTGTTTCAAGCCCTCTTGGAGATGACAGACCTCCGGAGAGGGAAACTGACACACATTAGCGGGCAGAAACGACTCAGTAGTGACACACTGGAGTCCCGCCCACAAGCAGCACATTTTGAGCCACCATACTAAACCCTAGGCCACAGCTCAGTTCCTCCTTAAAAAAAAAAAAAAAGTGGGACACAAATAATCTAAGAATGAGGAAAAAAAAAAAAAACAACAACCGCCTTTTGGACAGCCCATTGGTTTTATGGCAGCTCTACTTGCAAGTGTTTGTACGAAATAAAAAAAACGTCTGGCTGGGTGCAGTGGCTCACACCTGTAATCCCAACACTTTGGGAGGCTGAGGTGGAAGGATGCTTGAGCTCAGGAGTTCGAGCTCAAGACAACATGGTGAGACCTGGTCTCTACCAAAAAATAGAAAAATTAGCCGGGCATGATGGCAGGTGCTGTAATCCCAGCTACTCAGGAGGCTGAGGCGGGAGAATCGCTTGAACCTGGGAGGTGGAAATTGCAGTGAGCTGAGATCACGCCACTGCACTCCAGTCTGGACAACAGAGAGAGACCCTGTCTTAAAAAAAAAAAAAAAAAGAAAGAAAGAAAAAAGAAAGAAAAGTAAACGAAAAGTCCAAAGGCACGCCAGGTTTTCTAGTAGTCGAGCTGGTTACATACTATGGTCTGTTGTGCACATTTTGAACTGATGGGTAAATTACATCACGGAAAAATTCAGAGCCCAATGGTCCACCTGCAACTACGGAGTTCTTAAGTTCTCTATTTCTCTGTTTTATTTTTTGCTGCTTAAAATCTGTTGTTACTATTCTGCTGAGATTAAAAAAAATCACTGCTTGGATTCAACCATTTTATTTGGCTTTTTTTTTTTTTTTTTTTTTTTTTTTGAGAAGGGTCTGGCTCTGTTACCCAGGCTGGAGTGCAGTGGCATGATCTCAGCTCATTGCAACCTCTGTCTCCCCGGTTCAAGCGGTCCTCCCAACTCAGCCTCCTGAATAGCTGGGACCACAGGTGCCCACCACCATGCCTGGCTAATTTTTTTTTTTTTTGTATTTTTTTGTAGAGACGGGGTTTCACTGAGTTGTCCAGGCTGGTCTGGGACTCCTGGGGCTCAAGCGATCTGCCCACTTTGGCCTACCAAAGTATCGGGATCATAGGCATGAGCCACTGTGCCAGGCCATTTGTTTGTTTTTGTAAACTGGTGAGTTCGTATTAATATCTCATGTCTAGAATTCTGAAGTAAAAGCAACAGGATTTTTGTATGAGTGGTATGTGTGTTTATGTATATGTACATGTACTTTATGTGTTGTGGCCACAATGTACCAAATTGGCTTAAAGTTAAAGAGTACTCATAAATAATAAACCCAAATGTTTTTCAACTTCATGTGACATAAGTAAAATATTTAATAAATAAGCCAGCTTTAAAATTATTAGTAAATTTTAGATGTGTCTTAAGAATTGTCAGCATTTTTGTTTCCATTGAATGATGGAAGCAGTTTCAAACTTATCCCTGCCAAATACTATAAGATGTCAAAATTTGGTATAAGAGTTATAAAACTGTAAACTCAGTCCAAAACAAAATGATCTTTACTTGTGTAATTTTTGTTGTTGCTTTTTTTTGGGGGGGTGGGCAGACTCTTGTTCTGTTGCCCAAACTGGAGTGCAATGGCACAATTTCAGCTCACTGCAACCTCCACCTCCTGGGTTCAAGAGATCTTCCTACCTCAGCCTCCCGAATAGCTGGGATTACAAGTGTGCGCCACACACCCGGCTAATTTTTGAATTTTTAGTAGAGACGAGGGTTTCACTATCATAGCCAGGCTGGTCTCAAATTCCTGGCCTCAAGTGATCTATCTGCTCGCCTTGGCCTCCAAAAGTGCTGGGATTACAGGTGTAAGCCACCACGCCCAGCCCTCTTGTGTAATTTTTGATAAATAAGACATTTACTATTGTTGGTTTAATGAAAACAGCTAAATTCTGAGTTATTGGTAAAATACTGATATTTAACCTTAAGTTTCTTACTTAGGTAAGAAACTCACAGGCTATAAAAAAGGTTAACAGGAAATAGCTTTAAATGATGACTATCACAGTTTTCATAAATAACCTAAGTAAACTATCAAAATTAATCAGGTAAATGTAATGGAATAAATGCTTATAAACAAACTTGATATATAATTTAGAATCTAAAGTTACATTAAATAATAGAATTCATTAACTGGGTAGTTTCTAATTTAAAAACTATAGAAAAACATTTTTCTAAAAAATGTGTTATTAAAAGGTAAATAGCTAGGCGTGGTGGCTCACGCCTGTAATCCCAGCACTTTGGGAGGCCGAGGCGGGTGGATCATGAGGTCAAGAGACTGAGATCATCCTGGCCAACATGGTGAAACCCTGTCTGTACTAAAAATACAAAAATTGCCGGGCGCAGTAGCACATGCATGTAATTCCAGCACTTTGGGAGGCTGAGCGGGGGTAGATCATCTGAGGTCAGGAGTTCGAGACCAGCCTACCAACATGGTGAAACCCCGTCTCTACTAAATACAAAAAATTAGCCGAGTGTGGTGGCACATGCCTGTAATCCCAGCTACTTGGGAGGCTAAGGCAGGAGAATCGCTTGAACCCGGGAGGCAGAGGTTGCAGTGAGCCAAGATCACGCCACTGCACTCCAGCCTGGGCAACAGAGTGAGACTCCGTCTCAAAAAACAAAAACAAACAAACAAAAAACAAAATACAAAAATTAGCTGGGTGGGAGGCAGAGGTTGCAGTGAGCCAAGACCACGCCATTGCACTCCAGCCTGGGCAACAAGAGCAAAACTCCGTCTCAAAAAAAAAAAAAAGAGAAAGAAAAATCTTATAGGATCTGCTTTTGTCTGTGTATCTGTTATATCGACATGTGTTATGTGGAGGTGATAATTAACTATCAAACTATATGAAAGAGCTCTCATCAATTGGCTTAAAGAAAAGTAAGTGCTAATCAGACTAACGAAAGTTAGCTCTGATGCCTTTTAGTTCACATGACTATAGTAATATATGGTACGATTAATTTGGTAAATTTAATCTCAAAATTCTCTCCAGTAGTTTAGAATCTTAAGGTCATATTATATTAAATTAAGTAACCTTGGGTTTTTCACTTGGAATTTGGGTTACCAAGAGATAAAATAGTAAAAGAGTAAGAAATGTTTTGGTGAGGTTTATAAAAACACAAGGATGTTTGCTAAAGAAAATGTAATTTTTTTTCTAGTTTAAAGGCTATTTGAGTTGCTTTAAAATAAAGGAAAAATTATATAGCTAAATCTAAATGGATAAAGAGGAAGGTAAAAAGGTGGGAAATCAAAAACCTTAGACTCCTGGGTGGCCACGTGGTTACCCATCTTAAGGAGCTGCAGTGGATTGCATCAGTTACTAAAGGTAAAAGTTTCCAGTGGAATTTAGAGCTGGGCCATACTCATATTCCTAGGGAGTTGGTTCATTGAATGCATAAGAAAATGCAAACTAATGAGAAAAAGATAAAATATTCAATCCCTTGGTTATTATTATCTGCAATAGCTAAAAGGGAAGTAAAAGAGTGCTGGGTTGGGCCTTAAGGCTGGACCAAGCTCAGGTATGGGTCTATCTCAGCTCAGGCCACCAGCCTCGAAGCTACCTATAAAAGGAAAAATTAAGCCAGGGCAACAAAAGTTACCTCTGAGACCTGTGGTTGCCAAGAAGATGGTCAAGGGAAAGGCAAAACCAAGTAACTATTAAAACCAGAGGGGAAAATGTAAAGGAATGGATCTGTTTTGTAAATTGGTATCATCGGCTTCCTGAGAAACCTTTACTGTAATGGATTGTAAAACAACTACTTTAAGGACAGTATCTGTATTAGTCTGTTCTCACACTGCTATAAAGAACTACCTGAGACTGGGTAATTTATGAAGAAAAGAGGATTACTTGTCTCACAGTTCTGCAGGCTTAACAGGAAATATGACTGGGAGGCCTCAGGAAACTTAAAATCATGGTGAAAGGCGAAGGGGAAGCAAGGACCTTCTTCACAAGGTGGCAGGAGAGAGAGCCAGTGAAGAAAACCATGCACTTTTAAATCATCTGATCTCGTGAGAACTCACTCACTATCACGAGAACAGCAAGGGGATATCCACACCCATGATCCAATCACCTATCACCAGGCCCCTTCCCTGACACACAAGAATTACAATTTGACATGAGATGTGGGTGGGGACACACATAAAACCATATCAGTATCTTTAATTTAATTTAATTGTTTTATTTATTTATTTACTTAGAGACGTAGTTCCGCTCTGTTGCCCAGCCTGGAGTGCAGTGGCATGATCTTGGGTCACTGCAACCCCCATCTCCCGAGTTCAGGCAATTCTCCTGTCTCAGCCTCCTGAGTAGCTGGGATTACAGGTGCGTGCCACCACACCTGGCTGATTTTTGTATCTTTAGTAGAGACGGGGTTTCACCATGTTGGCCAGGCTCATCTTGAACTCCTGACCTCAGGTGATCCACCCACCTCGGCCTCCCAAAGTGCTGGGATTATAGGCATGAGCGACCACACCAGGCCAGTATCTTTAATTTTCAATGCCAGAGAATGAAAGAGCATGTTTGGGTTGATGCAGCACCCATAGCTCACTATTAAACAATCGCTGATGAATATATCTGATCAGGACGCACAGGAAGTTATTCCTGAGGGAGCAGCCAGCCTGGTGAACCAGATAAACACCACTGCCAGGTGTGTTTACCCTGAGAAGGGGACAGGGCTGTGTCATGGGCCATTGGTCACTCATAGCTGGCTCAGAATAAATCTCTTCAAATATTTTACAGTTTGCTTCTTTTCATCAAAAATTCTATTCTTACAAACATTATGTCGAATGAAATAAACCAGACAGAAAACTATGCATAATGTATGAATATCTGTACCTGTATATCTATTTCAAAAACAAACAAAATTAATATTGTCTAGAAATGCATACTTAGTAGTAAAACCAGTAAAACTGTACAGAAAAGTGAGAAAGTGGCTACCATAAAAGCTAGGATAATTGGTATTTAGAGGAGGGGGAAGTTGCAATTGAGAAGAGACACTGTATTTGCAAGGAGAGGCCTCTGGGAAGCTAGAAACATTCCATTTATTGACCTGAATAGTGGCAACCTGAGTGTTTGCTCAACATTTATGTTTTAAATGCTTCCCTGTGGTTAAAAGTTGGGCAAAAGAGTAAGAGAAAAAAAAAAGGACAGGAGAACAGAAGACAAGAAAGACAGGAAAGGAGAAAAGGAGGAAGGAAGAAAGGAATGAAGGAAGAGTTTTAAAAAATCAGCTTTATTGAGATACAATTTATATACCATAAAACTCACCTGTTTTAAGTGCACACTTCGATGATCTTTAGTATATTTATGGAGTTGTGCTGCCCTCTAATCTAATTTTAGAATATTTCCCTCATCCCAAAAAGAAACTTCATGCTCACTTACATCCTATTCTCACCTCCAGCCCTGTCTGAATATGTGCCTTGTTTGCACTTTTCCTAGAAATGGAATCTTATAGTATGTGATTGTGAACCCTAAATACCTGAGATGGGTCTCAGTCAATTTACGAAGTTTATTTTGTCAAAGTTAAGGACCTGTGCCCGTGACACAGCCTCAGGAGGTCCTGACAACGTGTGCCCAAGGTGGTCAGGGCACAGCTTGGTTTTATAGATTTTAGGGATACATGAGATGTCAATCAGTCTACCTAAGATGTACACTGGTTCCATCTGGAAAGTCGGGACAACTCGAGTTGGGGAGGGGGCTTCCAGGTCATAGGTAAGAGACAAAGGATCGCATTCTTTCGAGTTGCTGATTAGCTTTTTCAAAGGAGGCAATCAGATATGCATCTATCTCAGTGAGCTGAGGGATGACTTTGAGCTCTGTCTGTCCTTTATCCACAAGGGAATTCCTTGTGAGGGAGGTATGTAGCTTTTTCTTCTTAGTAGCTGTCTAAGCTACTAATGCAGGTTTGCCCTTAGCAGTGCCCAGCTTGACTTTTCCCTTTGCTTTAGTGATTTGGGGGTCCCAAGATTAATTTTCCTTCCACATGGTCTTTGTGTCTGGCTTCTTTCACTGTGCATAACACTTCTGAGGTTCATCCATGTTGTAGCATGTGTAAGTACTCAATTCTCTTTCATGGCTAAATAGTATTCCACAATATGGATAGACCACATCTTGTTTTTCCATTCGTCAGTTGATGGACACTTGGGTTGTTTCCACAGCCAAATGGCTATCGTGAGTAATGCTTCTATGACTATACGTGTTCAAATCTTAGTACAAATGTCATTTTATTTCTCTCTTTATTTATTTATTTATTGAGACAGAGTCTCGCTCTGTCATCCAGGCTGGAGTGTAGTGGTGCAATCTTGGCTCACTGCAAGCTCCGCCTCCTGGGTTCAGGCCATTCTCCTGCCTCAGCCTCCTGAGTAGCTGGGACTACAGGCACCCTCCACCACACCTGGATAATTTTTTGTATTTTTAGTAGAGATGGGGTTTCACCACGTTAGCCAGGATGGTCTTGATCTCCTGACCTCGTGATCCGCCAGCCTTGGCCTCCCAAAGTGTTGGGGTTATAGGCATGAGCCACCGCGCCTGGCCTATTTATTTATTTTTGAGACAATGTCCCACTCTGTTGCCCAGGCTGGAGTGCAATGGTATGATCTTGGCTCACTGCAACCTCTGCCTCCTGGGTTCAAGTGATTCTCCTGTCTCAGCCTCCCGAGTAGCTGGGATTACAGGCGTACACCACCATGCCCTGCTAATTTTTTGTACTTTTAGTAGAGACAGGGTTTCACCATGTTGGCCAGGCTGGTCTCGAACTCCTTATCTCAAGTGATCCACCCTCCTCAGCCTCCCAAAGTGTTGGGATTACAGGCGTGAGCCACAGTGCCCGGCTTTTATTTCTCTTAAAGAATTTCTCTGAGAGGACTTGCTCAGTCACATGGTAACTCTAGGTTTAACATTTTTGAGGAACTGCTAAATTGTTTTCCACAGCAGCTGTACCGTTTTTCATCCCACCAGCAGTGTATGAGGAATCTACTTTCTCCACATCCTCAACAGCATTTGTTATTGTCTGCTTTTTACTATAGCCACCCTAGTGGATAAGAAGTGGTGTCTCACTGTATTTTTGATTTGCAGTTCTCTAATGACTAATAATGTTGAGCATCTTTTCATGTGTTTATTGCACATTCTATGCTTTCTTTTCTTTTCTTTTTTTCTTGAGACGGAGTTTTGCTCTTGTTGCCCAGACTGGAGTACAATGGCATGATCTCGGCTCACCACAACTTCTGCCTCCCAGGTTCAAGCTATTCTCTCACCTCAGCCTCCCCAGTATCTGGGATTATAGGCAGGCACCACCCGGCTTTAGGATGCCGAGGTAAGAGGAGAAAAATTGGTAATTTTTTTGGCATTTTTAGCAGAGGTGGGGTTTCTCCATGTTGGTCCGCCTGGTCTTGAACTCCTGACCTCAGGTGATCCACCTGCCTTGGCCTCCCAAAGTGCTGGGATTACAGGCATGGGCCACTGCGCCTGGCTCTACACTTTCTTTAGAGAAATGTCTGTTCAAATGGGTTATGCCCACTAAAACTTTTTTTTTTTATTACTGAGTTGTAAGAGTTTTTTTTCTTAATTCTACATAGTCTTTTATTGGATATATGATATGCAAATATTTTCTCCCAGTCTATAAGTTGTCTTTTCCATTTTCTTTTCTTCTTTCTTTCTTTGTTTTTGTTTTGTTTTGTTTTGTTTTTAGAGACAGGGTCTTGCTCTGTCGCCCAGGCTACAGTGTAGTGCTGTGATCCTAGCTCACTGCAGCCTTTACCTCCTGGGCTCAAGTGATCCTGCCACCTCAGCCTCTTGAGTAGCTGGAACTACAGGTGTGCACTGCCAGGCCCAGCTAATTTTTAAAAATTTTTTTGTAGAGACGGAGTTTTACAATATTGCCCAAGCTGGCCTGAAACTCCTGGCCTCAAGCAATCCTTTTTTTTTTTCTTTCTTTTTTTGAGACGGGGTTTTTTGCTCTTGTCACCCAGGCTGGAGTGCAATGGCATGATCTCGGCTCACTGCTACCTCCGTCTTCCGGGTTCAAGCAATTCTCCTGCTTCAGCCTCCCGAGTAGCTGGGATTACAGGCATGCGCCACCACACCTGGCTAATTTTGTATTTTTAGTAGAGAGAGGGTTTCTCCATGTTGGTCAGGCTGGTCTACGAACTCCCCACCTCAGGTTATCTGCCGGCCTCGGCCTCCCAAAGTGCTGGGATTACAGGTGTGAGCCACCACGCCCGGCCAAGCAATCCTCTTACCTCGGCATCCTAAAGTGTTGGGATTACAGGCGTGAGCCACTGCACCTGGCCTCCTTTCTATTTCTTGATGGTGTTGTTCGAAATGCAGTTTTAAAATGTTTATTAAATTCAACATCAATTTTTCTTTAATAATTTGTGCTTTCAGTGTTGTACCTAAGAAATAATTGCTTAATTCAAGATCACAAAGCTTTACTTCTGTGTTTTCTTCTAATAGTTGTATATTTTAGCTCTTACATATACAGCTGTGATCTATTTTGAGTCGATTTTTTTTTTCTTTTGGAGATAGCATCTCATTTTGTTGCCTAGGCTGGAGTGCTGTGGTGCGATCTTGGCTCACTGCAACCTCTGCTTCCCAGACTCAAGCAGTCCTACCACCTCAGCCTCCCACGTAGCTGGGACTATTTTTTTTTTTTTTTTTTTTTTTTTGTATTTTTGGTAGACACAGGGTTTCACCATGTTGCCCAGGCTGGTCTTGCACTCCTGAGCTCAGAGCGATCCACCCACTTCAGCCTCCCAAAGCATTGGGATTACAGGCACAAGCCACCATGCCCACCCTTATTTTGAGTTGATTTTTGGATGTAGTGTGAGATAGGGGATCTAACTTCATTTTTTTTTGCATGTGCATATCCAGTTCTCCCAGCTCTGTTTATTGAAAAGGAAGAAAGTACTTTAAGCAGATCAAAAACCTTCCATGGCTGCCACACCAAAGAGAGCTGTCCCAATTGCTGCATGAGTCTTTCAAGACTTTCTTGATGGTGTGGCTCCAACCTGCCTTTTCAGGCTTAACACTCTTTAGTCCATTTGCAAATGTTTCTTCAAACTCAAATTAATCTGGATACTCTTCCCTAAGTACATCTTCCTGTGTACTTTTGTTGGGCTCTGATAAATACATTTTCTTTCTGTCTTTCAGCATCTTAACTCTCTTCTAAATTCAGCAACAAGTCTTGGTTTTTGTACAGCTTTCCTTCCTGAACCCGATCTCATTTCTCCTTTCTGAGTGCCTACAGTAAGTGTCATCTGAATATTACTTAGGCCAGTAAAACCTTTATCTCTCTTTCTTTTGTCACTAACATTAAAAACAACAGTGACAACAGCAACACACTTCTTTTACTTAATTTTCTACTTGTTTGATTCATCTCCCCTACTAGAGAGAGACCTCTTTAGAGATGAACCTGTATCTCCTTCGCCATCATTTCTCCTCCAGGATTTAACACAGCATCTTTAAAGGAGTAGTCATAGATAAATGCTCATTGATTTGCTCATACCAATGTCTCAAGGAATCAAATGGATCCATAGATTTGGGCTTATGTGAAATCCTCTTCATCTGCGAAATATGGAAATGAAAACTATTCTGGAAAAACTACAAACTAAATATCTGTGAACAGATCACTTTAAGTACGTTTAGAAGCTGTATACATAAAACCTATGTGGAAGTCTTTTGTAAAATGAAGCTTTTTCAACAAAAATTTATTATATATGATTATATATAATTTACACATCGTATGCTATTTAATAATTAATATTTAATTCATGTTTTACCTATGTGGATTTTGTCTGTTTTCTGCCTTTTCCCTGTTTTTTTCTTTTGTGTGAATTTTCTGAAGGCTAGACAAACTCTCAGCAAACTTGCAGCATCTTAGAGACTTCTGAATGGCAGGGTAGTACACTACAGGAAGTCAGAGTGGTGAGCTGTGGTCCACAACAGGCTGACCTAGACCTGAACACCAGCTCTGCACAGCTTGGCTGCGGGGCCCTGACAACCACCCTCACCAGACCCCAGGTTACTCATTTGAAAATGGGGCTAATGACAGCTCTCTTGTAGGGTTGTGGAATGAATTAGAGATGAGTGCTAGAAAGCATTCATTAAAGGGCCAGCATTTAATGAGTGCTAATAACAGAAGCTCCCACATTTTTTTTTTCCTTCTACACATTGCAGCATAGTTTAGTCCTGGTTGCTAATGCTCTCCTTTTACTTCTCACATACTATACCCCCAATACACAGTCCCAATGGCCCAAGGACTGTCGCTACAATAAAACACCTTCAGATGCCAAGACAACATTATCTCTAAAAGTGGGAGCTGTCTGAATTATCTGTGCTAGATTGGATGTGCTATATTATTCCACACACACAAGACCACTTAAGCAATCAATAATCATTATGATAACAGAGTGTGACAAATGTCCTCTGGCATTTTTAAAAGCACATGGCTTCCTCTGGCTCGTCATTGAGAGGATCTGGCCAGTTGGGAGCTGAAGGAGGGCCCAGGCCTGCATGGGGAAGGCAATCGCTCCCAGAGCCGGGGTCCTGGGCAGCGTGGGCTCCACCCGCCATGGGACCAGTCGGTCTGTGGACCGTCCTTGGACAACACCAGGCTTCTGAGTCCTGAGTTACAAGCAGGTTTCTGCTAAGGCGAAGCAAGCTCTCTCTCTCTCTCTCTGCCTTGGCCTTCCATGAGGCTGTTTAAAAGATTAAACAGTTGCTACTTTGCCTCCAAGAAAAATTACTTTCCAGTCCTTTGGCACCATATTTTGGCTTCCTACCATTTAGAGTAATTGATAATTCCCTTGCTTTTATCACCTTCAGGAAAAAAAAAAAAAGAAGAAGTTGTCCTTAGATGGAAACATTTTTTTCTGTTTCCCTTTAAATACAGGACCCTCCCACCCTCTGTGAGCAGACCTGAAAGCCACCAGTCTTTACTATTTTCCCTGAGAGCAAATCTCCGCTGTGAACAAGGTCATCAGCATCTCTAATGTGCCCTGAACACCCTGCATTGATTAAACGTCAGCATGGTGCCTGGAGAATGTTCTCCCTCCTTACTTGATTCTCATCCTCAGGAGACAAACAAAACATAAATTCTTGAATATGGTAGATGAGTACAGGTGCCTTCAAAATCAGATTCTAGCCCCCGTTTCCAGTTCAGCATCATCTCTCTCTGCAGTCTGTCACCATCTCATCCTACCCCTTCCTCTGCTTGGAATTTCCTCCATCTCTTCTCAAATTAAGTTCCTACTCATCTTTGAAGATCCAGCCCAAATGTGACTTCCTGGGGGAGGCCTTCCCTGACCCTCTTAGACAGAATCAGCCCTTCTCCTCCCACTGTAAGCTCCCCAGGGCCCCTTACCCTATGCAGCCATGCTTCTAAAACCCTGGAGTTCCTGCTACAATGCAGATTCTGGTTCTGGAGCCTAAGATTCTTTTCTAACAAACCCCCAGGTGGTGCTGCCGCTACAGGTCCACGCAATGCTTCGAGTGGAAGAATGCAGTGTTCTCAGCACAGGGTTTTGTTCTCATTTGTGTGTGTGTCTTACCATTCTGCTTTAGCAGGACACCGACTGGCTATCTCATCCCTGAGTTCCCAGCCCTGAGCACAGAGCAAACTGCAAAAGTCAATGTGTTGAATGAGGACACCTCCCTTGTCACGCTCACATCAGCTTTCCCACAGGTCTCTTTCTTCTCCCCTCCCCTCCCCCTTCCCTCGCTCTTCCCTCCCCCTTCCCTCCCCCTCCCCTCCCTTTCCTCCTTCTCTCCTTCCCTCTCTCCCTTCCTTTTTTTTTTTTTTTTTTTTTTTTTTTAAGACAGGGTCTTGTTCTGTCACCCAGGCTGGAGTGCAGTGGTGCAATCATGGCTCACTGCAGCCTCGACCTTCCAGGCTCAAGAGATCCTCCTGCCTCAGGCTTCCAAGTAGCTGGGATTACAAGTGCACACCACTGTGCCCGGCTACATTTTTAAATTTTTATAGAGACGGGATCTTGTTGTGTTGCCCAGGCTGGTGTCAAACTCCTGGCCTGAAGCAATCCTCCCACCTGAGCCTTCTGAAGCACTGGGATTATAGGCATGAGCCACTGAACTGGGTTAGGCCTTTCCTTTTTGGTGTTCACTTTTAAGGCACACCCAGACTGTTTGCATTTTAACTCAGTAAACAGATATTTACAGACAAGATACAAAGCACAGCCAGGCTTTCTCAAGGCGAAAGAGCTGGTAGCTTCTGTTGCTCAGTGCCTTCCAGACTTCAGCCCCCTGTTCACACGCCCACTTCTCATTCTGTGTGCGTTCTGCCTGTTCTCATGTTTAGTGAGTGTGGCTGGAATCCATGGAGGTGGGACTTGGATTTCATTCCCATCCAATTCAACTGATGAGTATCCTAGTTTTAGACATGGTACTCTGAGGATGGTGGAAGGAAGGTGAAGTTTGTGGAGGAAGAGTGGCTCGCATCCATTCGTCATCCCTCGATGGTCTCAGGTTCACTTTGCATCATGAGCACTCAAGAGTTAAAAAGGTCTCATTTCTTGACCCCAGATCATGTCCTCAAGCCATTGTCTTTTTTTATGTTCTCTCTGGCTTGGCTTTTTTTTTTTTTTTTTTGCATGTGGTTTGATATGTACGATGAGCTCACAAGCAAAATTAAATTATATCATGAAGTGATAAAATGCATACAGTGGAGTTGACTTGCCATGAGCATTTGAGATGATGCAGTTCTGTCCTGTTTAAAAATATTAAGCAGCCATAGCATGTCCTATCTGGAAAGAAGCTTGCAGAGATCCTCTGGTCTATACCTATTCCCAAGTAGGGAAACTGAGCCCAGAGAAGCCACCTGGCCTCTCAGGACTCCACAAGCAGAGTGCATTCAAGCTAGGATCAGAAACCAGGACCCCTGGCAACTCCTTCCTTACATGTGCAACCCCTTGCTCTTGAACCTGATGGTTAGAACTAGTCTCCCTGTAATACACTTCCTGTGTCTGGGAGACTCAAAGGCCTCTTTTAGCCTCTGAAAGCTAACTTTTAAAAAATTTCAGGTGCATCGCTATTTGCTCAAAAGTTCTATTGCCCTTCTTCTTGACTCACATGTGTCCGGAGGTGGTTCCTTCCAGTGGGTTCTTGGTCTCGCTGACTTCAAGGATGAAGCCATGGAGGTTCACAGTGAGTGTTACAGCTCTTAAAGGTGGCACAGACCCAAAGAGTGAGCAGCAGCAAGATTTATTGTGAAGACCCAAAGAACAAAGCCTGCACAACACGGAAGGGGATCAGAGCATTGTTGCTGCTGGCTGGGGTGACCAGCTTTTATTCCCTTATGTGTCCCCACCCACGTCCTGCTGATTGGTCCATTTTACAGAGTGCTGATTGGTCCATTTTACAGAGTGCTGATTGGTGCATTTATGATCCTTTAGCTAGACACAGAGTGCTGATTGGTGCATTTACAATCCTCTAGCTAGACAGAAAAGTTCTCCAAGTCCCCACTTGACCCAGGAAGTCCAGCTGGCTTCACCTCTCAACATTGGTGGTCAGCTTAAATTCTTCAAGACATTAAAATCTGCCCTTCTTAGGCCCTGGGCCCTGCAGTTTCCATCAGACATGACTTATTATGCTGGGTCATGATTTCCCGTTTATTTATCTGTTTCTGCTGTGCAGACTGTGAGACGCCTGAGGGCAGGGATCATGTCCCTAGCACAGAGTAGAACTCAGTAAGGTAAGAATCTACTTGCTAGGAAAAGGAGAGTCTCATGCATCCACTAATCCTGACTCAGGTGACATTCACATTTTGCATTCAGATCTCCTTAATAGTCACTGACAATGTCTGGCTGCAGGCTTAGCTCATCCCTTTGGAGAAGGATGCTGTTAGGCTGTGACCCAGAGGCTAGTTTATTAGGCCCTGCTTTTTTCCCTTGGGTCTCTTCCATGATGACTCATGCATCTTGTAATTTGATGTCAGTGTTCAGACACAGCTAAGCTATAATAATCTCAGAAATGGCAAAGAAAACATAATTCATCAAAGGAAAAGCCACCATGTATCTGCCACCATGCATAGCAGAAGTGATCAGACCTTAATGACTAAAAGTAGTTTTTTTTTTTGAGGCAGAGTCTTGTTCATGTAGCAAACTTACTTCATTCCTTCCATAGTCATTTCCATTAAATTCCACACATTTATCAAGCACTTAATATGGGCAATCGAATGTACGTTTTGTTTGAGGGGAGCCACGTCCTATTTAGGAGGGAGCAGCTGGGGGTGTTGGGCTGGGGATCAGGAGGACTGGCCGCCAACCCTGCCTCTGCTATTCCCAGTCCAGTCCCCTCTCCATGTACCACAGCTCCATTCAAGTCGTATGAATGCTCCCAAAGAGCTTTGCACCCAAGAGCTGAACCTGAAAGCTATTTCTTTTTTCTAGAGGTTTGTCGGTGAAATAATTTAGACTTGGAGACTGAGATCTTTCTTCTATTTCTGGCAGGTCCCAATTTGAGATTTCCTTAGATTGATTTAGTTTTCTTATTAGCAATTCATTATTGCATGTTAATAATAGCTAGACTTACCAACTAAATACTTATAAAAGTATTTTGTTCCAAGTCAGTGACTCCAGTGAATCAATTAGAGCAGTCTTGGATGCCGGGATCTTAGAAATCGAACCTGTGGGTGTACCCGGAGGAGGTCTCCCAGACCAGTGTGGGGTCCAGCCCCTCAAGATTGTCCCATTAGGAGGCTGACGGCTGATGCTTAGCCCTGTCAAGACCCCTTGACAAGACTCTGGCAAGAACTCTGGGGACAGAGGAGATACTGTGTCTTTGGGCTCTTCTCCATTGGAAGCTGCAGGAGAGCACATAAGGACAGGAGCTCCTCCCCAGCTGGAGGTGAGCTATGTTCTCAGAGCTGCCCATCCAGAAGTTCCTCTAGGGTGGTGGAGACAAGGTCAGTGGATCCAGTACCTTTGGGTGTGGTTTCCACGTGGTACGAGTTTCCCTTCCCTCTGATCCCCATCTCCTTCCCTAGCCAGAATCCCTAGGGGCTGGTTCCCCAGGGCTGTAAGCTCAGATCTGCATCCCTTGGCATAGCACAGAGTAGGTGCTAGATATCTGAGAGGAGGGGAGAGAAAGAAGGAGAGACAGAGAAAGGGGAGAGAAAGAAGGAGAGACAGAGAAAGGAGAGAGAGAGAGAGAAAGAAAGAAGGAGAGAAAGGAGAGAGAGAAAAAAAAGAAGGGAGAAGGAGAGAAGGGTTGAAATGGACTGAACGAGACCCTGAAATGCTAGAAGCTGAAGACTTGGCCTTCCTCAGCACACTCCTTTCTTATCCTAACACTTGACAAAAAGTCATTATCAGTCTGAAAATAATGATAGATTCATACAGAATTTATGTCAGGGGCCAATAAGACAGATAACTGCAGGAGCCAGGGGGGTTACACAACCTGGAGAGAGGAAAGTAGTAGGGAATAGTGAGGTCTGTGAACAAGTAGAGTTGACATGCCCAATCTAAAGGCAATGGATTTAAATTTCTAAAACGTTTCTATTAACTGGATAAGATGCCTTTGATTGAGCTCAAAGGACCTTGGTTTAGGTTTTCTAGTAAAATAGGTGTTTTGAGTACAGTTCAACAAACCAGGCAATTAAGTATGAAGAACAAAAAATGGTAAGGAAGCAAGTGTGGCAGACAGGCAAGTGGGAGCTCTGCCAAGGGTGGTGTGGCTTTGGCCTGGTGGGGGACAGGGCTCATTTAGGAGACCACCAGAAGATTCAGGTGCCATCTGTAAGTTCCCAAAACGGCTCACAGGGGCATCTCTCCAGGAACACGGCCCTAGCAGCAAGACAATAATAATGATAATGATAATGCCACAGTTGCAGCTGATGTTCACAGGGCAGTTGCTACGTGCTGGGCATTGTGTTTGGCACCATCTTTAAAGTTTTTTAATTTTAAAAATAGACTTTGTTTTGTAGAGGAGTTTTCTATGCACTGCAGAATTGAGCAGGAAGTGCAGTGAGTTCCCATATATCCACCCCCGAGCCTCCCCAACTGTTAACATTAGCACCAGAGTGGCGCATTTGTTACAGTGGGTGAACCTGCATTGACATGTCATCAGAGGCCACCATTTACATTGGGGTTCATCTTGATGTTGTACATTCTATGAGTTTAGACAAACGTCAAATGACATATATCTACCGTTAAAATAGTTTTAACTGTCCTGAAAGTCTTTTAGCACTGTCTTTTTTTTTTTTGAGATGGAGTCTCGCTCTGTCGACAGGCTGGAGTGCAGTGGTGCAATCTCGGCTCGCTGCAACCTCCGCCTCCTGGGTTCAAGCGATTCTCCTGCCTCAGCCTGCCGAGTAGCTGGGATTACAGGCGTCTGCCACCACGCCTAGCTAATTTTTGTATTTTTAGTGGAGATGGGGTTTCACCATGTTGGCCAGGCTAATCTCAAACTCTTGACCTCAGGTGATCCACCCGCCTCGGCCTCCGAAAGTGCTGGGATTACAGGCGTGAGCCACTGTGCCCGGCCTAAAAATAGTTCTTTAGAAGACTTTTGCACACCTTTATATCACTCCCCGCGCACACCAAATACTTCATATAAGGTTGTTTCACCCCACAATTTACACGCTTGAGATCCAGGGTGACTCAGTGATGGATCTGGAGTTTAGTGTTAAGTCCTCCATCACTTCCTGTGTCATGGCTTTTCTCCTATGATACTGCCATACCAAATGGAAAAACCATTTGGCAGTATCTACCATACCCCGAGACTCAGCAATTCTACTTTTGGAAATGTATCTAATAGAAATGAGGGCTTAGGTCCACCAAAAGACACGTACTAGAATATTCATAGACCATTATTTATAGTAGAAAAAATTTCTGAAGTCCAACAGGAGTAGAATGGGCGAATGAATTGCTGTATATTCATACAATGGAATACTATACAGCAATGAAAATGACCAAGACATCCAATAAAGATGAATCTTACAAGCATAATGTTGATTGAAAGAAATCAGATACAAGAGATTTATACTGCACTATTCCATTTATATAAAGTTCAAAACCAGCCCAAGTTAACCTATGGTGATAGAGATCAGAATGATGGCTGCCTCTGGGAAGCACTGATTGGGAGGCAGTACCTGGGAGCCTTCTGGGGATGCTGGAAACTATCTTTGTGCTTATCTGGATCGCAGTTACATGGGTGTATACCATGTAAAAATTAAGCCGTGCACATAAGATTGATGTACTTAACTGTATGTAATGGCAAAAACAGCAATTACTTTTTCACCAACCTAACATATAAGTTACAGCTCAAGAAAAAAGTTTTTAAAAAGGAGGATGTTAAAATTGTGTCTTTCTGTGTATATATGTGTAGGTGAGTTTATATTGTACACACAAGTTTGAATTTTTTTCTATCCCTTACTGGCATTAGACCCTGGGCTGGTCTAATCTCTCCGTGTTTTAGTTTCCTCAAAAAGGGGATAATAATAACAATATTTTCCTCATAGACTTGTGAAAATTAAATAAATTAAATTCAAAATTTTAAAGCACTTAATACCTGGCACACAGTAAGTGCTTTATAAGTATTGACTATAATAGCATTCTATCAGAAGCATTTTTCAATGTAACACTCTTCATGAACACATTTCTTAAAGATTAGAAAATAAGCCATCATATAGCTGTATATTAATTTATTTAGCCATTTCCCTACAATTAGACTTTTAGGTTGTTTCTAACTTAGGGCTATTCTAAACAATGCTGCAAGAAACATCTCCATGTGTGTAACTTTGCTATTTTTAAACTTGCTTATTTGGGATAGATTTCCCAACAGAGCATTCCACAGTGGACATTTTGAGGTTTCTGATATGTATTTACAATTGGCTGTATGGATACTCCTATAATCTGGATGCCCTGAGATGCCTCAGAGTCCTTTACCAGGTCACCCAGTAATTAACCCCCTCAGAGCCCGTAGCTCTGGGCAGAGGAGGAGGAAAGAGATGCTAGCAGAGATGTATAGGGAGGTGGAAGGCTTGGCAAAGGAGAGTACTGCCATATCGGTCTTGGTTGAGCCACCATGGTTAAATACCATCTTGTCACTTTCCATATTTTGTGCTCTGTAGCATAAGATCATTTATTTGGCTTTTATAACATTCTACTCCCCTGACTGTAAAGTGCTACACATTAGTTAATTTTTTTTTAATGAATTAATTCTGAAGTCTAGAGACATTTGAGATTCTGTGGCTCCCTGAGATGCTGTAAATCCAGAGCTGGGAATTGTGCCTGCAGTGGCAGAAGCTGCCAGGTCACCAGATGGCAAAAGAGTGGAGGTCCGGGCGCTGCCTTTGGTCCTGAAAGTTCAGCTGCTTTCTGGCTGCCCACTGTTCCACACTTGGTGGGACAAGTGCATTCACTTTTCTTGCGTGATGCAGCCAGATCTCATTTCCTTTAGTAATTATGCTAAAATCTCCAGCTTTAGAAATTAAGACAACAATTAGCCAACCTCCGAGAGATTTATTTCTTTGGCCCTGATATGACCATGGAAGGATGAGAGGCCAAAGAGAAGAATGGAGCCAGACATAAATGATTAACAATAATAAAAACGTTAAAAATGTGTTATTTTAAAATGTAGATATTAATGCAATGCAAACTCCTAAAAAGAAATGCCTGTTTGTGAACCACACACAAGCAAGGCCTTCCCATTTCATATTTCTGTGGTCTTCCATAAAAGTCATAGTAGGAAACACTCCCTAGTGGCACTTGGAAAAGAAATAACTGCCTCTGAGGAAGTGGCAAAAGGAAAAATGTTTCCAAATATTGGAACTCTTGAACATAGATAGGCAAGATGGAGTTGTTTTTTTATTTTTTTTAGAGATGAGCTATTGCTATGTTGTCCATGCTGAGCACGAACCCCTGGGCTTAAGAGATTCTTCTGCTTCAGCCTCCCAAATAGCTGGGAATACAGGTACATCACCACACCCGGACAAGATGGAGGTTTTTTTTTTTTTTAATTGTTTTTCTTTTTCAACTTTTATTTTAGATTCAGAGGGTACATGTGCATGTTTGTTATGTGGGTATATTTTGTGATGCTGAGGTTTGGGATACAAATGGTCCCATCATCCAGGTACTGACCATGGTACCTTGATACTGACCAGGTACTGACAATGTTAGTTTTTCAACCTTGGCCTTCCCCCAGTAGTCCCCAGTGTCTATTCTTGCCGTCTTTATGTCTATGTGTACCTGATGTTTAGCTCCCACTTATAAGTGAGTAAATGCGGTATCTGGTTTTTCTATTCCCGCTTTAATTCACTTAGGATAATGGCCTCCATCTGCAACCATGTTGCAGCAAAGGACATGATATTATTCTTTTTTTCTTTTTTGGCTGTGTAAGATTTTGTGGTGTATACATACCACATTTTCTTTATCAAATCCACTGTTGATGGGCACCCAGATTCATTCCATGAGTTTGCTATTGTGAATAGTGTGCTGTAATGAACCTGCAAGTGCATGTGTCTTTTGGTAGGACAATTTGTTTTCTTTTGGACATATACCCACTAATGGGATTGCTGGGCTGAATGGCAGTTCTAAGTTCTTTGAGAAATCCCAAACTGCTTTTCACAGTGGCAGAACTAATTTACATCACCACAAGTGGTGTGTAAGCGTTCTCTTCTCTCTGCAGTCTTGCCAACATCTATTGTTTTTTGACTTTTTAATAATGGCCATTCTGACTGTGTGAGATGGTATCTCATTGTGGTTTTGATTTTCATTTCTCCGATGATTAGTGATGATGAACAATTTTTCATGTTTTTTGGCCACTTGTATGTCTTTTTTTGACAAGCACCTGTTCATGTCTTTTGCCCCATTTTAATGGGGTTATTTGTTTTCTGCTTGTTCAATTGTTTAAGTAAAGATGGAGTTTTTATTTAACATATTTAAAGATGAACTCACTGAAAATTAAGCCACGAAGTTGGTCCTTTTTATGCATCCTTTTTGTTGACAGCCTTACCTAGGGCATAATTTTCTCTAAAGGGCTGAAACATTCTTGATATTACAGAGAGCAGTGCCTCTCAAATTTAATGTGCATGTCACTTGGGAATATTGTTTAAATATGGATTCTGATTCAGTAGGTCTAGGGTGGGGCTAGGATTCTGCATTGCTAACAAACTCCTAGATGATGCTGATGCTTCTGGTTTGTGGATCAAAGTCTGAATAGCAAAGACATAGACAACGATGAAGTCCAGTTTCTAGAAGACATTGAACACTCTGCTACTGAGTCTCTGAGCTCAAAACTTAAGGCCTGTTTCCTGGAGCTTCCTGAGTGGTCAACAGAGACCCTCTTTCTAGCTGTGATTCATGGTGTGAATAAGGACAGACAAATGTCTCCTTTCCCCTCCCAGGTCAACCACTGAGAACATGTTGCAAACTCTCTTGGTGGAGTTTAAATAATGAAGTGATGTCTTGATCTGCCGATGTTTCAATAGCTCAGTACTTCCTTATGAAATCAATCGAACCCAACCAACAATGACATTGATTATTCCCTAAGGCCGTCATCTCTAGCCCACACACTTCATATAATATAGGAGGCTCTCCCAATCTTATTAACTAACCTCAGCCCATACTTCCTCCCTGCTTCCATTGGAAGTTAATTATCCTGCTGGTATTTCTAAGGCACTGTGTTTATCATTGCCTAAAGATTTTTCAGAAAAGAAGAGGATTAATAAATGTCAGAGCCAGCTTTCTTAATTTTTATTATAATGCAAAAGGAAAGGAAACCAAGTGGCATCTGCATTCATATTTGTAGATTCACTGGAATTTGGGGTTCAAGAATGAAGCTAAATCTGGCAGACCAGGACTGAGTGACCTGCTCAATATTGTAATTACCTGCAAGTTTATCATATGATGGAAAAATGCTCCTGAGATAATCTTTTTTTTTTTTTTTCATTTAACCTAACTTTATTCATGCTTGCCTTGGGATGGGGAATAGATCATTCAGTAAAAACATACAGTAAAAACAAAATGTCTTATCATGTACAACTTTTAAAGTACAATAATGATGTACCTTAATTACTTCCATGTACACAATTCTAACTTTTTTTTAAATAAACACAAACTTCTCGGATCATTTTATAATAAAGTAATTCCTAATTAATTTTTCTTTGTAGATAGATCAAGCACCTCCAAAATACAAATTCTTATACACAGTGAGCATGTTACTTAAAATGAACACTTAAGTAAATTAAGTATGTGGACAGGCTTAGGATAAGCTGACATTATAGATTCAGCTAGGAAAGCAACAAACCATAGTGTCAAATGGAAAAAGTGTATTTACAAATACATTTTAAAAACTAAGTTAATTTTAATAATTAAATACAGAAAATATACTAAAATAAATAAGATGCGATGTATTAACACTTCACTATAAAGAATGCATACCAGAACATTTATAAACAGTGAATGAGTCTTATTAAGAATAGTTTACTACAATAAACGCTGGCTAAATAGAAGTGCATATTGTGAAGCACTATGGTGGTATATGTTTTGCCACATACTCTTGTTACCTTGAGGTAGATAACACATGTGTACCAAATTCAGCATTCATTTTCAGTTGCTGCTGGTATCATGTGTTTTGAGAAATGTGTACAGTATGAAAAACTTGAAAATACTCATGAATGAATAATGTCTTAGAAAAAATAGCTATTTTCATGCAATTATGTACAGTCTCACTGTGTAAATTTCAAGGCAAGGTTTGTTTCCTGTAAAACAGATCATTGTTCTATGAGAGAATGTTCTTTACCTGTCTTAGTGCATTTCTTTTCTCCTGCATTGCATTATTTTGCTCTAGTCTTTACTTTTGTGAGCAAATGACATGCCAGTTAAAATAAAAACTATCTCACATGTAGAAAAAGAAAGTCTGGATTTTAAAAGCCAAGAACTAATAAAATCCTTACTAAATGACACCATCTGATTCAAGTAAAAAATGACTTAAACACTAGTAATAAAAAAAGACAAAACACATTTCATGCAGAATACAAAGATAAATGTCTGCTGAGTGTTTTAGTTCAGAAGTTTCAGACTGCTACTGTATGTTTGATGAGGAATATTAGAGGAAGATTTCATAGCAGAAGGTGTTAATGTGGCCTGTGTTGACTTAAGTGGTGACCCAACTGGACTGTGAAACTGCGGGATGCCTATGGACTCGAGCTGCTTTTTGTCAGGCCTCGGAGCCCAAGCTAAGCCATCATATCTTCTGTGATCAGCACGTATACATCCAGATGGCCTGAAGTAACTGAAGAATCACAAAAGAAGTGAAAATGGCCTGTTCCTGCCTTAACTGACGACATTACCTTGTGAAATTCCTTCTCCTGGCTCATCCTGGCTCACAAGCTCCCACACTGAGCACCTTGTGACCCCCACCCCTGCCAGCCAGAGAACAACCCCCTCTGACTGTAATTTTCCTTTACCCACCCAAAACCTATAAAACAGACCCACCCCATCTCCCTTCACTGACTCTCTTTTCGGACTCAGCCCGCCTGCGTCCAGGTGAAAT
This sequence comes from Homo sapiens, assembly GCF_000001405.40. Taxonomy (NCBI): domain Eukaryota; kingdom Metazoa; phylum Chordata; class Mammalia; order Primates; family Hominidae; genus Homo; species Homo sapiens. The sequence continues at coordinate 49,772,812 of NC_000010.11, read as the reverse complement.
AAACAGCCTTGTTGCTCACACAAAGCCTGTTTGGTGGTCTCTTCACATGGACGCGACTGAAACTTGTTAAAGAGGAACTCCCCACTGTTGTTCAGAAACCTTTCCTCATTTCCTCTCTCCCCAAGCTCTTCTTCCTCTACTGGCTCAGTTTCTAGCATTTCAGTATCTTCTTTCCTGCTAAAGAACTTGTCCAAGTAACGAGTGTAAGTGTTTTCTTTCTCAACTTGTTCATCCTTCCTTACGTCACAAAACTGATTGATGAGAAAACAGTCCTCCCCACCACTCACACACTGGCTGTCCCAAGAAGATTGGTACAAGGTTTCTAACTGAGCCAGATTTGCCATTCCTTTTTCCTGTTTTTCTTGGCTTACTGACTTTGATATCAAGCTTTTCAATTCTAGTTGGGACACTGAGCTATTCAAGTCATTTAATTTATCAACAACATCAGTAGGCTCATGTTGGGAACTAAGTTGAATAGTTCCTGCAATAAAGGAATCAAAATCAAATCCATGATTCTTTTCCCTTTCTTTTCCAGCCAGTTGCTGTGATGCTTCCTTTAGTGCTATCTGGCTTTAACCAATCCATTCCTTTCACATTTTGATTTGCCTTATCAGATTTTTCTTTGCTTGTTCTTTCCAATTGGAAAGATCTATAATAAGCTTGGGTTCATAGTAATGGTTCACTCTCTCTCCAAACTAAGTTATCTAAATATGATGATGACCTCGTTTTGCAGTTACAAGTATGGCTACACTCCAGATCGCAATATTTGTTTTCATGATGATCTGGGTACTGCCAGCAAGGCTCAGTAGAGTAATTGGTATCAAAAGCAGGATCCTCCAGATACTTTTCCCGATCTCCATCCAAATATTTTCAGGGGTCAACCTGTACTTCTTCTTCATCAGTGGCATCAGACAGAGCTCTTGGATCAAGCTGAACTTCATCAATATCAAAGTTGTTATGTATAGGCCAATCATTGCCAATTATATTGCCTTTTCCTTTTGAATTGTTGAACTTGTGTAAACAAGGAAGAAAACTGGCATCCAAAGGAAAGATCTTTCAAAAAGAGAGAAAAAAAAAATAATTATGCTTCCACAGCAAGATGGTTTCTTGATGTTCATTGCATACGCCAAACAGGCCTGTTGAGTTTCCCTTAGATTTAAAGCTCAAAAAGCTCTACTCATATTGAGAATTAAAAAGATTGCAGTACTCATAGTCCAAGAAAGGGGCAGCAACTCTGCAGACATTTAAAGAAAACACTCAAGAAACTCAAACGGAATGAAATGATATACTATGCACTCAGATTACTGTGCTAAACGATTTAACATTTAACAAAAATGTGAATAAATATGCACACAACAGGCTTCTATGAACATTCTCCTCACAGTGCATATACATTCAGTGTTGGACTGGTCCTGAGCAGCATCATTCTAAGGTGCTGTTAAGCACTATTTCCGTTTTGCTTCTTTTCTTCCTTTGTTGCTATATATTTCAACAGGAAGCCCTGGCGGCTGTTGGTTAACAGAAGGTGTCTTTTGTTAGTGATCAGGTGGCTCCAGCTCACCACAATCACAATCAAAGCTACCGTCCATCTTACTCTGATACAATGGGACTTCTCCAACTCATCGAGAGAGTGCAGGGCCTGCAGACAGCCCCCAGCTCAGGTCTCCGGCTGTGCTGGCCGCAGTGGCGTCTCTGAGGCTCTCGCTTTGCCGCGGTAGCTGCCATGTAACCATGACCCATGAGAGAGCGCTTCTGAGATAATCTTAAGTGAAAAGGGACTCTGCAAATTGTGAAGACAGTATAACCACAACTTTGGTAAAAGTTTGAATACCATGTAAGGGAAGAAAAATTGGAAGGAAAACACTAAATGATAAACTCAACTAAGGTGGTTGAGTTTAAACAGGAAAATATGAATATTCTTTCCTTTTACAATTTTTTTGTGCTTTTTAGTGTTTTTATAATGAGCATGTATTGACATTGCAATTGAAAAGAAAATCTGGACTCTAAAAAACACTCAATTAATGGGCCAGGTGCAGTGGCTCACACCTGTAATCCCAGCACTTTGGGAGGTGGATCGCTTGAGCTCAGGAGTTTGAGACCAGCCTGGGCAACATGGTGAAACCCTGTCTCTACAAAGCACACAGAAATTAGCCAGGCATGGTGGCACGTGCCTGTCCTACCAGTTACTTGGGAGGCTGAGGTGAGAGCATCACTTTAGCCCAGGAGGTGGAAGTTGCAGTGAGCCGTGATCATGCCACTGCACTCCAGCCTGGGTGACAGAGCGAGACCCTGTCTCAACAACAACAAAAAAGACAACAAAAAGACACTCGGTTAAGAGACCTTACCTTCTGTCTGATTTGTTAACCATGTCAGTGTTCTTTCTTTTGTTTTATTCTTTGGTCTCTCTGTCTTCTCTGCCTATTCAGAGCTGAGGGTGCTCCCTGCACCTGCCAGAAGTCATCTGTACTCTGAAACTACTGTGAAGGCAGGGACTGCTTATGTCTCTGTACAGCAAGATCAGGTTAGTTCTCCGAGGGTAGTGAGGAAACAATTCTCTTGGCCTCAAATAAATATTAAGGCCCAACTCTGCATAAGGTGAGGCCTCCTAAGAGGTGGTAACTGTGCCCCATAGAGGCAGGGGGCCTGGAGCACACCTTCAGGGGCCATAAGACATCCTTGACTCTTCTTCTCTTACTACCCAAAGCCAAGCTGTCCCAGCCCCACTGACCCTGCCTCTGTAATGCTCTGCACAGGTCCCTCCTCCCCAGGCCTCACTGGTGAAACCTCCATTCACTGGGGTGCTTATGGGAGCTCACCAGTTATCCACCAGCCTCCAGAATGACTTTTCTTTTCCTTCCTTCCTCCCTTCATTTCCTTTTTTTTTCTTTTCTCCTTTTTCTCTTTTTCCTCCCTCCTTCCTCTCTTTTTCCTCCCTTCCTCCCTCCCTCTCTCCCCTTCTCCCTTTCTTTCTCCCTTTTTCTCTCTTTCTTTCTTTCCTAGGCCGCAATGCAGTGGCGAGATCTCGGCTCACTGCAACCTCCGCTTCGCGGATTCAAACAATTCTCCTGCCAGCCTCCAGAGTAGCTGGGATTACAGGCGCTCGCCACCATGCCTGGCTATTTTTTTTTTTTTTTTTTTGAGGCGGTGTCTCACTCTGTCGTCCAGGCTGGAGTGCAGTGGCATGATCTCAGCTCACTGCAACCTCCGCCTTCCAGGTTCAAGCAATTCTCCTGCCTCAGCCTCCTGAGTAGCTGGGATTACGGGGGCGCGCCACCACGCCCGGCTAATTTTTTTATTTTAGTAGAGACAGGGTTTCACCATATTGGCCAGGCTAGTTTCAAATTCTTGACCTCAAGTCATCCGCCCCCCTCAGCCTCTCAGCATGCTGGGATTACAGGTGTGACCACTGCGCCTGGTCAGAATGACTTTTCTACAAAATCTGACTGCGTCTCCTGCTGAAACCCTGAAGAGGCCCTACAGCGGTTTGAGGACTGAAACGTCAGGTAGAACGTTTGAGACCCTTGGCTGGGCCTGGCTATCTCCAAGCCCTGCCCTGGAGCACCTGATGCCGGCCACAGAGAACCCCCTTCCCTCCACCCAGTATCGCCAGACACCCCAGACCCTTGCTCGCCCTCCAGGCCTTGGTCCACAACACTCCCCTCACTCCATTATCCTTTCCCTCTCGCCCAGGAAGGCCTCCCTGATGCATCTGCCTCAGAAGCGCACGCGCAGGGGTCTCCCTGCTTCAGGGGCCGCTGGCATCTTTCCGGGCTTTCCCGGGAGAGATTCCTGTGGTGGGCGCGGGCCTGGCCCACAGGCTCAGCGTCAAGAATCGTCCTCGTCCGCCGCACCTCGCACCTTCCCCAGCGGGGCGCGGCCGCGGCAGGAGGATGAGGAGCGGAGCCCAGGACTGCCGCGCGGATCCGGCCTGCTGGAGGAGCGCGGACCGGGAGTCCCCGCGCGTCGGATCTCCGGCCAAGGTGGCCGCCCCTAGCCGGCGGGCAGCCCAGGCCCCTGCACACCCGCCCTCCCAGCCCCTCCCCGCCGCCCCAGGACACGACCCCGCGTTCCCTCGCGCGGCTTCTGTCTGCGCTCGGACAGACACCGCCGGGAAAACTTGTTCAGCGCCCAGGAATCCTCGCCCAGCCGAGGGCCTCCCAGCGCAGGGTTTCAGAGACCGATGTCGGCTGCTCCCAGCTCCCAGTTCAGCGCGCAGGCGGCGGCGTGAGCTCGCCCTGGGTCGAGAGGTGGTGACCCGGGGTGCCTGGCCACGCGGAGTCGAAACCCGGAGTGGCGACGAAGGAGACGCAGACAGAGGTGTCCTGAGAGCCGGGCTAGGCAGGCGCGGGCTCCCCGCCCCTTGGGGACTCCGCAGGAGGGCACAACCCGGCCAGGCCTGCTCAGAGAGGGGCTTCCCGCCGGGGCCCTGAGGGCTGGGGCGAGGGCCGGAGCGTGCAGCCGCCTGTGAGGGGACGGGCAGGGATGCGTGGCCTTCAGCCCGAGGGCAAGCGATGGCCTGGATGCTGTTTCCTGAAGTCCAAAATCTTGGCTGTGCTCTCCTTGGGGGTTCGCTCCGAGAGGTGGGAGGCCTCAGTTGCTGCAGGGGAGGCGGCAGCAGAGGTTTAAGGGGCTGAATTTGCCTCTGAATCCTGCCGCCTCCAAACGGAAACTCGAGTCCCTGCTGTCTCCATGTCCTGTCCCACCTGGACTGGGGCTGGTGGAAAGGCCGGCTGCAATGGAGCTGGAGGACAGGAGCAGATGGTTGCCCTAGGGGCTCCATCTTTCAGGGAGGAAAACCATGGGTATTCTGGAGGTTGTGGCCCAAAGGCCAAGGCTGGGAGCAGAAGAGGCCTGTGGGAGGCAGTGGTGGAAGCGCAGAGCTTGTCAGAGGGCAGCCTTGTGGAGAAGCTGACCAGCCGGGCCTAGGATCAACACCTGCTGTATCACAGGCTTATCAGAGGAGGCGCCTTCTGCACTTCGGGGCACCCACAGAAGATTTTCAGTATGATGCAGGTCTTGGATCAACTTGATATTCTTAAGGTGGTAAAATTCCCCTTTCAAAGGTTTCTTTGTCAGATAATGAAATGTTCTAAAATTGCACAGTCGGTTGCACAACTCTATGGATATGCTTAAAAAAGAATTGAATGATATATTATATCACGGGTGAATTGTATGGTATGTGAATTATATCTCCATAAAGCTGAACCCAGTAACAGACCCGCACAAATGTGCTCAACTGATTTTTTGACAAAAGTGCAAAAGCAATTCAATGGGGGAAGAACAGCCTTTCAACAAATGGTACTGGGGCAATGGACCGTCCATAGGTTAAAAAAAAGAATTTCAGCCTAAATCTCACATTTTATACAAAAATTAAAGGATAATGAACCAAAATGCAAAATGTAAAACAATAAAACTTCTAGAAAAATAGGAGAAAATCTTCAGGATCTAGGGTGAGGTGAAAAAAAATCTCAGACTAAACACCAAAAACATGAGCCATAAAATGAAAAAATGATATATTGGATTTCATCAGAATTACAAATTTTTGCTCAGTGCACAACCCTACTAAGAGGATGAACAGACAAGCTACAGGCCGAGAGAAAATATTTGCAAATCACGTATCTGACAAAGTCTAGCATCTAGACTATGCAAAGAGCTCTCAAACTCAACAGTAAGAAAAAAAAAGAGTGATCCAATTAGAAAAGGTCTAAAGGACATAAAGAGACATTTCTCCAAAGAGGATATACAGATTACAAACACACACGTGAAAAGATGCTCATTAGCCATCAGGGAAATGCAAATTAAAACCGCAATAAGATATCATGACATACCTATCAGGATGGGTAACACACAGCACCAAATGCCGGTGAGGATGCAGAGAAACTGTATCACCTACACATTGTTGATGGGACTGTGAAGTGGCACATCTACTCTAGAAAAGAGCAGAAGGTTTATAAAAAATGAAACATGCAACTACCATACGACCCAGCAATTGCACTCCAAGGCATTTACCCCAGAGAAATGAAGACTTATGTTCACACAAAAATCTGAACATAAATGTCCATAGCAGGTTTATTTGTAATAGCCAAAATCTGAGCACAATCCAGATGCCCTTTATGAGTGAATGGTTAAACAAACTGTGGTACATCCATACCATGGAATACTACTCAGCAATAAAAAGAGACAAATGACTGATTCACACAACAACCTGCATGAATCTCCGAAGAACTATACTGAATGAAAAAAAGCTAATCCTAAAAGCCTACCTACCCTATAATGCCACTTACATATAACATTATTGAATGCAAAATTATAGAGATGGAGAACTGATTAATGGTTTGGAGGGGTTAAGGAGGAGGTGATGTGGGAGGGAAATAGGTGTGGCTATAGAAGGGCATTTTGAGGGATCCTTGTGGTGATAGAAATGTTTTATATAGTAGTTTGTGCTTATCCTGGGGAGATACGTTCCAAGGCCCCCATGGATGCCCAAATCCTCACATAGTATCAAACCCTATATATACCCTGTTTTTTCCTATACATACCTATGATAATTTTTTTTTCTTTTTCTTTTTCTTTTTTTTTTTTTTGAGATGGAGTCTCACTCTGTTGCCCAGGCTGAAATGCAGTGGCACTCTTTCAGCTCACTGCAACCTCCACCTCCTGGGTTCAAGTGATTCTCCTGCCTCAGCCTCCCGAGTAACTGGGATTGTAGGCAACCATCACCACACCCGGCTAATTTTTTGTATATTTAGTAGAGATGGGGTTTCACTATGTTGGCCAGGCTTGTCTCAAACTCCTGACCTCAGGTGATCCACTTGCTTTGGCCTCCCAAAGTGCTGGGATTACAGGTGTGAGCCACCATGCCTGGCCCATACCTATGATAAAGTTTAATTTATAAATTAGGCCTAGTAAGAGATTAACAACAATAAGTAAGACTATAAAAGAAAAATTATAATAATAGACTGTAATCAAAGCTATGAAAATGTGGCCAAAGCATCTATAAACAAAGTTAAGACAAGTGACAGACTGGGAGAAATGTTGCAACATTTACAACCTACAAAATATTCTTATTCAGAATATGTACAGAGTTTATGTGAATTCAAGCAAAATATAAACAACCTGATAGAAAAATGAGCAAAGTCTATCAATAGGCAATTTGTAGAAAAAGAATACAAAATAAGAAACATATAAAAAGAAACATATAAAAACATATAAAAAGATTTTCAGGCCGGGTGCGGTGGTTCATGCCTATAATCCCAGCACTTTGGGAGGCCAAGGCGGGCAGATCACTTGAGGTCAGGAGTTCAAGACCAGCCTAGTCAACATGATGAAACCCTGTCTTTACTAAAAATACAAAAATTAGCTGGGCATGGTGGTGTGTGCCTATAGTCCCAGCTACTTGGAAAGCTGAGGCAGGAGAATAGCTTGAATCCAGGAGGCAGAGTTTGCAGTGAGCCAAGATCACGCCATCGCATTCCAGCCTAGGTGACAGAGCGAGACTCCACCTCAAAAAAAGAGAGATTTTCAAACTCGCTTATCAGTTTTATGCTAACTAAAACAAAATGTGATTTTTCACCTATCAGACTGGCATAAATGAAAGAAAACTGATAATAAATCTTGGCAAGGATGTAAGGGAGTGGGAACTCAAAAACACTAATGAGGAAGTATTCAGTGGAACGGTCTTACTAGATATTTATTATACATATTAAACTGCAAAGAATATATATCTTTTGACCCATTGTTAAACTTAATTTAGAAATCAGGCTGGGCATGGTGGCTCACTCCCATAATCCCAGCACTTGGGAGGCCAAGGTGGGGGATGATGAGGTCAGGAGTTCAAGACCAGCCTGGCCAACATGATGAAACTCCATCTCTACTAAAAATAAAAAAATTAGCGAGGCATGGTGGTGGGAGCCTGTAATCCCAGCTACTCAGGAGGCTGAGGCAGAAGAATTGCTTGAACCTGGGAGGTGGAGGTTGCAGTGAGCTGAGATCCAGCCACTGCACTCTAGCCTTGGTGACAGAGCAAGACTCCATCTTGAAAAAAAAAAAAAAAAAGAAAAAAAGAAAGAAAGAAAGAAAGAAAGAGAAATCAATGTTACCATAGTAGTTTTGCATGTACTAAAGGGAATATATAGGAGGACTCTTTTCTCCTTTTTTTTCTGTAAATGTCAAAAGAAATGGAAATGTTCATTCAATGGGAGAGAAGTGACATACAGTCACCATACATCCCTATAATGAATACAACATACCCATGAAAAAGAATGAGGTGGTCCTACACATACTGAGTTTAAATAAAAATCTTCAAGACAAGGGAAAAAAAGAAACAAGTCGTGGAACTATATTCTAGTGTGATCCATTTCATATTTTTATGTATATGTTTGTAGAAGCATATGGATATAAATACATAAACAATTTTGTAAAAATGTTTGCCAAACTGGCCAGTAGTTATCTCTGGAAGGAAAAAAAAGAGGTGAGGTTGGGGCAGGTGGAAGGGGGCTTTTCACATTTTGTTCTGTATCCTTCTGTATCATTTAAGTTCTGTACAACTAGAATAAATAAAAACTTCCATGTTCTGACACACACACACACACACACACACACACACACACACACACGCCACAGGCATGGGAAAAAAAGAAAGGTGTCTGTTTCTGAAGATCTCTGCAAAGCCTACAGCCACTGCCACTAATCCTCTCAGGCTTCTGAGAATGGCAGCCACCCTCATGGGAGCGTTGATTGCCCCAAATGTTTGCTTTAATCAATGCAATTAGCAGAACACCAATTAGGCTGGAAGGCTGAAAGGCTCTGAAGCCTTTTGATTTGCAAGAGCCTTGTTCCTGCCTGCTGCTCTGTGTCAGGCTTTCCATCTTTCTTAATCGGTGACTCTGACTTGTAAACTTTTCCACTATTACCCCAAACTGCAGCTTCTCCTTTTCCCTAGCTCACTGAGAAGTTCCACTGTGCCCAAGTCACTAAAGCCAGACACCTGTGAGTTATCTATGTCTCCACCCTCATATCTGGTCAACCACTAAACCCCGTGGAGCTGATCCCCGTAAGTCTCTCAAATCTGGCCACCTTACTCCGTCTCTACTGCAAGTACATTACTGCCTCTCACCCGGAATTTGAATTTTGAAAAACAGAAGAGCCTTGAAGAGACAGTTCCTCTATGGCTCAGCCCTGCTTCCTGAAGTAAATTTTCAGCTTTCCTCTGATTCTGTGAGTTGCCTTATATACAACCTTCATATCAACTCGTTTTCGGCTGAAGCTAGCCAGGTCATTTTTGGTGCTTGTGTCCAAAGAATTCCCAATGAACCCTGCCCTTCTGCACCAGATAAAATCTTACTCATCCTTCAGGATCCAAGTCAAGTGTCCATTTACTCACTCAGTCATTCATTCAACAAATATTTACTGAAAAATACCATGATAGTGCTGTGTTAAGTGCTGAAGATTCTTGACCACATGTATCCCTAACTGTCTCCAAATAAAGAACTTTTGGGAGACTTCAGGTGCAGAAGTTAGTTGTATTCCTTTCTTCGTGGCACTCTGTCAGCAGTGATCTGGGTAATTGATTAATTACCTCATATCCACATTCCCCATCCTCCTCCCTCGACAAGCAACCATATTAATTGGTTTGATATGTACTTGAATATATTCTTGTGAAGTGCATACTGTAGTTTTGAGATTAAAATTCAAGAGTGTAAGTGTAGAAGCAGAGAAGCCAGTTAGGAGGCTGCTGCGATAATCCAGGAGAGATTTGATGGCAACTTGAACCACAGGTATGTTATGTTCCTATACAAGAAATCCCTGCATTTAAATGAGAACAAAACCCAACAGAAAGCTGAAAAAAATACAACAGAAAACCCCAAACTAACAAACAACGGGAGATGCAAATGGTTGATAACCAGAGAAATGCAGATTAAAACAATAACAGGACATTGCATCTGCTATTCTGATAATAATTAGAAAGTTGATCTCTATCCCAGAGAAAGTTCCACGCAGGATCCTAAGGGAATGTGTATGAAGAAGTTCATTGCAGCCTTGTTTGTGGCCACGGGGTGGTGAGGACAGCCTGGGTCACCATCAGTGGGAGGATGAATGGGTAAAATGTGTATCAGATTTGGGGTAAGCACTTTTCACGCATTATCTCATCTTTTTTTCAAAACATCCCTAAGATAGTGGAACTTTTCATAGCATTCCCATTTTACAGACGACAAAACAAAACCTATCCTCTCCTACACACAAAGGCTGCTTGTCGTCTGGTACATTCGTCCTAGTTTTAGGACGAGCACACGGGGTTCAGGGCCTCAGCCCCGTTCTGCGGTCTCAGAGAGGAGTCCCCCCTTCGGCCGTGGGCGACCTCGGGCCTGGGCCGCCAGCACCGTGGACAGCGCCAGGAGCGGGGCGGGGCATCCATGGAGACGTCACGACGCGCGGAGTCTCAGGGGCGCGCGCCCGTGGGCGGCTGCGTCACGTGACCCAGGTAATTGGCACGGCGCGCGCGCACCCCTTCCGCGCAGCCCCCTGACCTGCAGCCTCCGGACCTCGCTGCAGCGCGGACCCGGCCCGCCCGCCCGGTGAGCGCGGCGGCCCGCCCCCTCCCGGTCCCTGCGCCGCTGCTTCTCCTGCCGTCCTGGGGACCGGCCCCACAGCTCCTCTCTCCTGGGTCCTGGGGCGCCGCTGCCCGCAGCCCTGAGTCTGGCCCCGCCGGGGGGAGGGGGAGGAGGAACAGACTGTGACCTTGGCTCTGACCTTGGCTGGCCGTGGCCTCCCCCGGGACCCCCAGCCCATCGCGCGCGTACCACCCGGCTAGTCCAGGGTCCTGCGCAGAGGAGCGGGTGCTCGCGGTGGGTTTCTCCAGCCCGAGGACTTCAGACTGCCCCGCGCCTTCCGTGGCCAGGGGAGGGCCCGGAGCTGCGAGGGCTGTGCGGGGGATGGGGAGGGTCAGCGCTGTGCACCTGGCGGGACCCATAGGCAGCTTCGGACTACCAAGGAGCCTAATAGACGGTTTTAACCGCGGTCTCCGATTACAGATGAGAAAACTGAGGCCTGAGAGAGGGCGGCATGGCCTGAGGTCGCTGCTTGCATGGGATGCGCTTCTTCCGCCCCCCGGGAGATGTGGGAGGGGGACGGGGTAATCCCGAGGCCACAGCAGGCTGCAGTACGCATTCGCCGAACCGGAGAGACCCTTTGACGCCCCTCGGCCACCTGGCTCAAGCAGGCCCTAGCAGCCCCTCCCCAGTGTCTTGGAACAGGCCCCAACTAAATAGAATTGCGGTTTGTTGCTGAGCAAAAGCTCATCTGCTTCTCAGAAAGTGGGGTCAGAGTAGACCTGCTGCTGAGAGAATCCAGGCTCTGCTGCTGCCCAGCTTGGAGGGCCCTCTGGGGAGAACCCTTCCCGGCCTCTGTTTACTGATCTCTGCAATGGGTGCATTAGGGAGTAGTCCTCACTAGGGCACCCCAGACAGGGTTGTGTGTGTGGGAGTCTTAGTGGCCATGGTGTCGGCAGTTTTCTGGGGTTGGGTTGAGGTTCTGAGGTTGGGTTGGGGATGCTATGTGACCTTGTCCTCAGAGAAGAGACCCCCAAGAGATACCCAGGGCAACTCTGCTGGAGTCTGGACTGGGCAGGGGGTTGCACAGGGCACCTGACTCTCACTCCTTGTTGCTGTCCTTGACTGTATGGGCAGGAACTAGTAGGGCTGGCTTGGGCTCTGGCTCTAGATACTGAGCCCTCATGCCCTGCTGGGATGCAGGTGGGGGTGGGTGGCAGGCTGCCCTCCTGCCAGGCTGGGTCAAGGTCACAACAGTGCCCAGTGGCCAACCCAGACTGTTTAGTGTTTATAAAACAGTGTTCCTGCACCGGGCCATTCTGGACACAGCCAGACTTTGTCCCTATCTGGCCCAAACTGCCCCATTCCCCTGTGGGGGTGGGAGTGGCGCTGGCAGAGGGAGCAGCTCTGGCTCAGCTGATGGGAACTGCATCGCTAAGAGAAATCTGGCTTACATATTGACTGCAGTGATCAGGGCACAGTCGCTGGAACCCCACACAGCCCTGTCACTCACCAGATTAGCCAGCTTAGCCTCTTGCACCTCAGTTTCTCTGTTTATAAAGTGGAACTGATATGAGTGCCCACCCCATGGGATGTTGGGAGGATTAAATGAGCACAGTATCTGTCCTAGAATCAGTGCTCCTGACGGTGCCTATTATGTTTATTCCCATGACGATGGTCTTGATATCTAGTTTCCTTTGCCATAGACTGGGGATGATAAAGCGTCCTGGGTTGTGGATTCTTTTTGATGCTCTAGAAGATTCTCCCTGATGCTTCAGGAGCTCCTGGGCCTAGTGGCCAGCTGGGCTGGCACGACCTTCTCTTTGCCCAGGCCTCTAGGATAGTCAGAGGTGGAACAGGAGTTGGGACCCTGGCTGCCTGACCCCAGAGCTCATGCCTGGCACTTGGAGAGGTGCTGCTCCCAGAGGAGCCGGCCCCAAGTGCCCCGCGCTCTAGGGCTTGGCATCACTGGCTCGTGGGCTGGGCCACATGACCCGAAGCCTCAGGGGCTGAGCATTGGGGAGGGAAACTTGGGGGCACTCAGAGGCTCCCAAGCTCACCTCCCTCCTCCCTGCAGTGGAATCTTTTTTGTTTTGAAAATTTTCTCTGTTCAGGCTTGCTGCTGGTTGCCCCAGGAGCCTGTCCTCCCTCCATTGAGGTGACATCACCCCTTTCCTCTGGCTCATGTGAGTTAGAAGGAGGGCTGTGCCCTGCCCTCTGGTGGGGCCTGACCTTTTGTGGAAAGTCCAGCCAGTGAGTTTCTGGTGACATGGTTGAGCTGATGGCAGGGGTGAGGCAGAAGGGTGCAACAGGTGTTGGCTGAGCACACCTGACCAGGAGCGTTGGCTCAGGGCCTGGCCTGGGCAGTACTTGGAAGCCAGTTATACCCCAGAATGCACATTTTCTGGGGCCTGAGCTGTCCAGGGGTAGGGGACTCCTCCCGCCTGGGCGACCCCTTGTGGGGTGGTCCTTGCACCCAGCTTACAAGCTGGGCGGTCTGGGCAGGAGGGCATTAGCTGGTATTCATGGGGAGCTGCTCTATGGCAGTGGCTGTGCTGGAGCAGAGGAAGGGGTTCTGCTCACAGTTGTAGGGTGGGGAACAGAGGTCCCACTTTACACATCATGTGTAGGATGAGGTGGCAGGGGTATGGGGTGATCTGGGACCTCAGTAGGCCCTATCAACCCCTAACCTGCCTGGATAGGGATATCTGGGGGGTTCTCCAGGATTGGCAGAGGGCTCTTAGAACTCTTACCGTCTGCGGAATAGAGAAAGCCCCCATCACTGAAAGCCCAAGATTTAGATATTTTCCCTGGGAAGGCACAGGTGACAGAGTGAGGTGAGATGAGCTGCAGGGCCTGGTTCCCCGTGGTCTGGGTGGGCTTCCAGTCTGTACCTGCCTGGACTGTTAGCTGTCTTGAGTGGCGCTGGGCTGGGCCTGGGGCTGCCTTCCATTCTACTCTTCCTGCCCCTCCAGACCTTAGCCCTTCCTGCAATGAAGTGGGGCTATTGTTGGGCCTAGTGTCACCAGCCTTCTGGCTGGGCCTGGGAGAGAGGGCACTCTGGCCCAGGATTGCAGTCACAGGGAGTCACTGGTCACTTTTGGTCGCAATGACTAGAGCCACAGCCCTCCTGAGATAGTGTGCCTCTATCACCCCCGACACCTGTGCTCACTGGATGCTTTTGCCCCTGCTTTTCCCTGACCATGCACAACACACCTGACCCCTGGAGGACTGCCTGCCCTGGTTCTAGGGTGGTGGGCCTGAGACCCACTCCTTCTTGGTGGTACTCCCTGCACCTGCCCTGTGGCTCTCCGAGTGGGCTCCAGGACCTAGGTGGGTGCTCCCTGAGGCAGGGCCTGGGGAGTTCATGTCTCTGCACAGGCTTTGGGGACTATCCGGGAAGGAGTGTGGTCTGGGATGAGTGTGGCACAGCAGGGCTGGGGCTCAGGGCTGTTTGATATCTATTGATAGAGTTTACTGAGCTGGGAGCTTCCACCAGACAGTAAGCCCAGGGGGCTGGGAGAGTGTCACATTCCCAGTCTCATCACTGCCTAGCCCAGCACCATCTGCCCAGTGGGAATGACAAGTGCTGATGAGCGGACAGTGGCTTGGTAGAGCCTCTTCCTGTCTTGGTCCTGCCATTTATGCCTCTCCTTCATTGCCTGTGTCCAGAATGAGTCAGCTGAGGCTGCTGCCGTCCCGTCTTGGGGTACAGGCTGCGAGGCTCCTGGCTGCACATGACGTCCCGGTGTTTGGCTGGCGCAGCAGGTCCTCCGGGCCACCGGCCACCTTCCCAAGCAGCAAAGGTGGAGGCGGCTCCAGTTACATGGAGGAGATGTACTTCGCCTGGTTGGAAAACCCCCAGAGTGTCCACAAGGTCAGCATCCCCACCCTACCCTGGGCCACCGCAAGGGAGGGAAGCCCTCGGGGGCCGGGCTGTGGCAGGGCAGTGGGGAGAAGCAGCTTGCCTGCTGTGTGATCCTGGGCAGGTTTCTTTGCCTCTCAGGTCCTCAGTCATCAAAGCCTGTTGCTTTCCCTTTGCTGAATCAGCCAGTGGGTGGTGGTTTTGATTGAGAGGCCCTGGCCATGTCCTGCTCAGCCACACCTGAGCCCTGCCGTGCCCCCTTTGTCGTGCTATGCTGCCTCCATATGCTCCTTTGTATGTAATTAGGGACATACGTGTTTGTGTATGTATTGATCTGATAAAATAAATACTTGCTGATAGTAAAGAAAAAAATTAAATTAGATGGGAGGGTGAAAAGTGAAGTTGTTCTCTGACCCCTTCACCTGCAGTGGAAAGCAGTGCAGTCACATGATCCAAAGCCAGAAGGTATAAGAAGTTACACAGTCAGAAAGCTCCCTCCTAATCTATCCTCATCTGCTCAGTTCCCACTGTCCCCCAACTTAGTGTCCTCTATATCCTTTCCAAGACTTGCATTAGGTAAACTTACTGCAAATGTAACTCTGGATTTGTCTCCCTTTACGCAAAAGTAACCTGTAACACATACTGTTTTGCTCCCTGCTGTTTTCGCTTGGTGATGTATCTCCAAGATCTTTCCATATCAGTACATGAAGAGCCTCACTATTCACTCTGTCCAGCTGTGTAGTATTCCATTGCATGTATGTGCCACCCCTATTCCTGCTGATGGACATCTGGTTCATTTCTAGTCTCTGACTGTGGCGAACAGTGCTGCAGTGCATCATCTTACACCTTCATCATCTTGCACCTGCAGAGCCATCTGTAGGGTAAATTCCCCAAAGTGGAATAGTTGGGTCCAGGAGTGGCTGTGTATAATTTTGATGGGTATTGCCAAGTTGCTTTCCATGGGGATTGTACCAACTGAGTCTCCCACCAGTGCCGTATGGGAGTGCACGGAGGAAAGCGCTTTTACATTGTTCTTATGGAAAACACATGCAAATGCCTGTGTGTGTTCACATCTGCTTTTTGCTTCTACACAGAGAGTAGCAGCCATACATCCTCTTCTGCTTCATTCACTTTAAAACGTATCTTGGCAATATTCCATGTCCACAATACTGAAAGCACCTTTTTAAAAGACTGTGTAATCTTCCAGATTCTAAATGTAAAATCGTTATTTAGCCAGTTTTCTATGGATAGCCATGTAGGTTGTTTTCACATTGTCAATTTTTGTAAACAGTTCTGCAGGGAACATCGTTGTATGTACATCTAGGCACCCTGGGAAGGCCCTGAGAGCTGTGGTCCTCAAGGAAGACCTGACACTCCTTGGGGCCCCAGCCTGGGCCACCCCTGACTCTTCCCAGGCCCTGACCTGGCTGCGTTCTTGTTTCTGCCCTGCCTAGTCCTGGGACAGCTTCTTCAGGGAAGCCAGCGAGGAAGCCTTTTCTGGCTCTGCTCAGCCACGGCCCCCTTCTGTTGTCCATGAGAGCAGGTCTGCAGTCTCAAGTCGGACCAAGACCAGCAAATTGGTGGAGGACCACCTGGCTGTGCAGTCCCTGATCCGGGCCTACCAGGTGAGGGGCAGCTGAGGCACAGCCTGGGAGGCTGCACTGGCTCCTGGGGTGTGGCCAGGCACTGAAGGGAAGGGGTCTCAGCTCCAACATCATCTCCCCAGAGAGCCCTTCTCCTTGTCCTCTACTGAGCGGCACCTACTCCTCTAGCCAGTCTTTGCCACATCACCATTCAGAGCACTTACCACCTGCTTGAATTTTTTTTTGTGCATACTGACTTGTGTCCTTGTGGTCTGTTCCTTGCACACACCATGCCCCGAGTACGTGGAGGAGCACTTAGTAAGGGATCAATTCCAAAGCCTGTTGAATGAGGGGTGAGTAGATTAACCCTTGTTAATTCTGTTTTCTCCTCTAGAATGGGCATCCTGGGAGAACAGGGACTGATACAGCAGGTGCCTAATTCATGTTTATGGAATGAATGGTTCAGTAAACAATTCTCCCCCACCAGTTGCTCCTCCTGGAGACTTAGGCTCTCCCATGCTGGGCCCCTGCTCTGTCAGAGTCCCAGTGATGGTGTGTGTTTTTGGTCTTGACCAGACAGGACTAATTGGAGGACTGCTGCGGTGTTCAGGCCATAACAAGCGTAATCATTTGGAATATCTCTGGGAACTGCTGGCAGGAGGTATTCCGTCAGGGAAATGTGAGGCAGCAGCAAGCCACAGCAAGGCTAGGGTACAGGGGGGCATTAGCAAATGGAAATGATGCTTTGCCTCTGAATGAGCTGCCCAATCTGTGGGATGGAACAGAGTTCCCTGTACACCACCCACCTGGGGATGGAAGAGGGAAGGTGAGCAGGGTTGGGTTCCCTTCTGGCCTGAGGACCCATCAATTGTGGGCCACCTAGGAGCAAACAGCAGCTATTGTGTATTGTGTCTTTCCTGGCTGGCTGAAAGAAGCAGACAGTGATCTAACCCTTGACTTCAAAAATGAAGAACAAGGATGTAAAACTGTATATTAAATACAGGGAAACGTTCAGGGTGCTGCCCGAGGGCCTTATCTTCTAAGCACAGATCTCAGCCCTTCAGTAGCTCTTTGTTCTTTGATTAACCAAGACGAGGCATTAGAGAGTTTTCCTGGCAGGGTGGCTTCTGGATTCAGGTGTGTTACTCTGTTGTGCCTGGTGTGGATGAGCTCCCACCAGGAGGGCTGCAGCCCCTTACAGGCGAGTAGCAGGCACAGCTGTGGTTAGAATCACCTGCACACTGTGCTGAAAAAAAAACACTGTATTATTATAAGCATTTTCAAACATATAAAAGGCAGAAGGATAGTGCAGTGAGCCCACCACCCATCAATCATGGCCAGCCTTGTTTCATCAATTTCCCCCTTAGCCCCCGCTCACTGCTGATTATCTTGAGGCAGATCCCAGATATAGCATTTCATTCATTGAACATTTCTTTGTGTATGTCTAGAGAAAAGGGCTTCTTAAAAAATGTGCCATGATACCATTATCGCATCTAAACATAATAATGCCTAATATCAAATATGCAGTTGACATTTGTGTTTGCCTTTTGTCCTGTGCTTTCTTTTTTTCTTTTTAGATGGAGTTTTACTCTGTCACCCAGACTGGAGTGCAGTGATGCAGTCTCGACTCACTGTAACCTCTGCCCCACGTGGTCAAGTGATTCTCCTGGCTCAGCCTCCTGAGTAGCTGGGATTACAGGTGCTTGCCACCACGCCTGGCTGATTTTTGTGTTTTCAGTGGAGACGGGGTTTCACCATGTTGGCCAGGCTGGTCTTGAATTCCTGACCTCAAGTGATCTGCCCGCCTTGGCCTCCCAAAGTGCTGGGATTACAGCGTGAGCCATTGCACCCAGCCTGTGCTTTCTTTTTACTGCTTCTTTGAAGCAGGATCCAGCTAAATCCACAGGTTGCAATAGGCTAAAGTGGCTCTTACGTCTCTTGTACTTTGCAGGTTCCCTCTGTTTCTTTTTATGATGTGGAAAAACCAGGTGGTTTGTCCTGTAGGGTTTTCCCAAGTCTGGATTTTGCTGATGGCTTCCTCATGATGTCATTTCATCTGTCCCATTGTCCCATGTAATTTCTGTACTTTGACAATTAGATCTAGAGGCTCGATCCCATAGACATTTGATTTTTTTTTTTTTCAAAATCAGCTTCCTGGTGGTGATGGTGATGGCACTTGAGCAGTTAGCAGCTGTGGATAGTGATTTCCTAGATCCATTAACTCACTAGGGGTTGCAAAAATGGTGATATGCCAATTCTGTTTTGCCTTCTTTATTAACTGAAGTCCCACTATCAGGAGAAACTTCCGTTTGTTAACTCTGTTTATCCTGAGGTGCAGATTGTGTAGGAAAGACAGGATCACTGCTTTATTTTTTTCTTTTATTCAGTGATTTTCAAAATTATGAGGTGATTCCCTAGCACACTCCAAAAGTGACTAATGAAAGTTTATCTTCTTTTTTTTGGATTCATATGAATGCATGAATATAAACATATTTGATGAGTTTCAATCTGCTGTAGGTATACTGTCCTTATAGTTGCTCAAAACTTGTCCTTATTCCCAGCACTCGTGGTGTTTGAACACTGCCTTGATGTTGGTATAACAAGATGCTTCAAGCTCAGCTTGTACATTTCTGCCTATTCCAGAACTGTCCAGGTCTCTGGCTGTTTCCTGCTATTGGTTTGATCATTACTTCTGGGCCCTTTCAGGAATCAGAGCCAGGAAAGGGTTTATACTGATGCTTCTAACGTGCTACAAATGTGGGATTTGGGGTTTGTCCTTGACCCTGTCAATCTTATGGCAACATTGCCTTTAGAGATGTCAAAAATAGAGGTTCTCAAAGATGCCAGTACAATGGCTTGTTTGATTTCCCAGAGCTCACATGCAACAATCTTAGAATAACAGTTCTTTTTTTTTTTTTTTTTTTTTTTTAGATGGAGTTTCTCCTTGTAGCCCAGGCTAGAGCGCAGTGGTGCGACCTCAGCTCACTGCAGCCTCCACTTCCCAGATTCAAGCGATTCTCCTGCCTCATCCTCCCAAGTAGCTGGGATTACAGGCATGTGCCGCCACGCCCAGCTAATTTTGTATTTTTAGTAGAGATGGGGTTTCACCATGTTGGTCAGGCTGGTCTTGAACTCTTGACCTCAGGTGATCCACCCATCTTAGCCTCCCAAAGTGCTAGGATTACAGGTGTGAGCCACTGTGCCCAGCCAGCATAACAATTCTAACACTATTACGACTGACTGGTAATAAAAAAGACTTGATGAATTTTTTTCTGTTTGTCTTTAGGGAATGTTCCATTAGTCAATTGGAATGGTTTCTCTCTGTATTTATGCCACTAAGTGGACATATTTATTCATTTGATTCATTTCACTTTCAATTTTTAAGACTTAATTTTGTTTTATAAGAATGTAAAATATTTACAAGGTTTGAAAGTCAAATCTTCAAAGTAAGATAACTTCTTAAAAATCTGGCTCCTAGCCCTGCCTCTCTATCCTATTTTGTCCCCTCCCCTAGAGGATAATTTTTCTTATGTTGTGGTTTTTTTAAATTTTATGATTTTCCCTTCTAATGCATATATTTATTTGTGTCTCCTTTTTATTAGATAATGTGTAGTTCACCATACATACTTTGCTAGAATTTGCTTTTTTGCTTAACAATATTTTTTAGAGACTACCTTGTAGTATCAGATGGGGATTTTTCTTCTTCCTTTTAATGGCTCTGGAGTGCTCCGCTGTGTGGATCGCCCATATCCATGCGCCAGTCTCCTGCTGATAGACAGTGGGGAAGTTTCTAGAATTTCACTATTACTAGTAGCACCGCAGTGAACACCTTTGTGCATAGGTCTTTTTCCTGTTTTTGCCCGTGCATGTTGTACTTCCAAACCAGGTTGAGCTCCTGCCACCTTACTGGCTGTGGCTGGGGTCTCGCAGGCAGCAGTGAAGTAGCCGCGGGGCAGAGACATGGGGAAGCTTAACATTCGGGAATGGGAAGAGAGGGGCTGGGGCCCAGAGCCTTACCCTGGAGGAGGTCTGTCCAGCTGGGTCCCAGCCCCACCCTGCTCTTTTCCCTCCTCCCAGATCCGGGGTCACCATGTGGCCCAGCTGGACCCCCTGGGCATTCTGGATGCAGACCTGGACTCCTTTGTGCCCTCAGACTTGATCACAACCATTGATAAACTGGGTAAGACCCTTCCTCAGGACGGCCATGGCAGTGCTGTGTGGGTGGCCCAGTAAGGGGCCCACGGGCACTAGGGACAGCCTGATCCTTGGGAATCCATGGAGCTCGGGGAGCAGCCCACAGGGCCTCCTTTCTACCTTGCCTGTGTACTGCCTGTTGTTCCTGAGAAGGATGCCTGCCACTTTCCCTAGCTTGTGCCCCATGTGTTCAAGCCTGAGAGGCTTGTCCACCCTGCCTCCCTGGGCTCACTCTCACTTCTGCTCCCCAGGTTGGACCCAGAGGGAGGGCACTGGGGAGACTGGGAGGTCTGGTGAGACTGCGGGGCTCCACCTGGGCCTGACCTCCCTCCCTCCACTTTGCTGCCCGGGGCTCGGCCACGCCTCCTTCTCCAGCCTTCTATGACCTTCAGGAGGCTGACCTTGATAAGGAGTTCCAGCTGCCGACAACCACCTTCATTGGGGGCTCTGAAAACACCCTCTCTCTGCGGGAGATCATTCGGCGCCTGGAGGTGAGCACAGGCGGGTGTGTGGGGTGCAGCTGAAGCAGCTCTTTGGAGCTTGCCAGAGGACGGGAAGGCACTGTCTTTTTTGTTCTAGACAGCAGGGATGTCAGCCGTCCCTCTTCCCCGCTCCTCATGGGGTCCCAATGTGTCTCCCCAGAACACCTACTGCCAGCACATTGGCCTGGAGTTCATGTTCATCAACGATGTGGAGCAGTGCCAGTGGATCCGGCAGAAGTTTGAGACCCCTGGTGTGATGCAGTTCTCCAGCGAGGAGAAGCGGACCCTGCTGGCCCGGCTAGTGCGCTCCATGAGGTTGGCACCACCTGGAGGGCCAAGTGGCTGGAGGTCCTGCTCCAGGGCTCTATGAGACGTCCCACACCCTGCCTAAGAGAGCAGGAGGGTACCACAGGAAGGCAGGACTGGATCGGCCTCACCACTGGCTGCAGGGAGGAGAGTTGGGACCAGGTGTTTAGGCAGTTTGGCCAAGAGCTGGCCCAAGGCAGAGCAGGTCAGGTGGGCAGGGATGAGGCTCTAGGAGAACAAGAGAGCGGGGACACTGAGCAAGGCCAGAAGTGGCGGGAAGTGGCTGTGGGAACATTTGGGCAGAAAATTATCCCTGGTGTGGAGTGACTGTGGCCACACCACCTGTCTGTTCACTGGACTTTTCTGAAGCTGGGTCCCCCAGGGCTGCAGGGGCTGGGGGAGCACCTGACTCAGCTGCTGGATGCAAAGTGGATTCCTGAGCAGCGAGGTGTGGGCTGGAGTTTGGATCTGGCTGGGTGGAGATCTTTGGGACTTGGCGAAGAGAGCCCTTGAGTGTGGCAGGAGGGTAGTGGGCTAGGAGTGGGTGGGCAGTGGCCTGTTGGAGGAGCTTGGCTATGAGGAAGAGAGAGGGCGGCAGCTGGGAAGGGGTGTAGGCAGAGGCGTTTGGTTCAGCTGGGAAGATGCCTAGCCTCCCCTAACCCTGTGTTCCTTTGCTGGGTGGGACAGGTGTATCCATGGTGGGCCCTGGACCATGTAGGTGGAAGGAGGATTTGTGACTTCCTCTGTCCTCAGCATTCAGCTCTGAGCACTCATGAACAGCCCCTGTGAGCCCCAGTCCCCTCCCTCTCCATCCCTTTCCCTTTCCTCTTCCCATCCTCTCCCCAAGCAGGTTTGAAGACTTCCTGGCCCGGAAATGGTCCTCAGAGAAGCGGTTTGGCCTGGAGGGCTGTGAAGTGATGATTCCTGCCCTCAAGACCATCATCGACAAATCCAGCGAGATGGGGATTGAGAATGTCATCTTGGGGATGCCACACAGGTGGGTCCCCCTCCCTGCTGTGCCTTGCGCATTCTCCTCCAGCCCAGGGGACAGAGGTGGGAGAGATGAGATGGAAATCAGAGCGGAGGTGTTGGTGGGACCTGGGGGTAGAGGTGGGTTTCCTGGAAAGTTCTGAGTCCTGGGCCTGGCCTGCTCGTCACAGAAATTGCCGGGTACTTGGCCAGAGTCACCTGGGGCCGGGTGCTAACCAGGTTATCAGGCACCCTCTCTCCCTGGCCATGTTGCCTCTGTCCCTAGCAAGGGTGAGATTTCAGAAAGCGGTACACTATACTTCTTGAGGTTCCTGTGGACAAGGAGAGGTGGAGGGATTTCTTCCAGGGAAGGGAGGGCAGGGCCTGGGCAGTTGTTCCCGGGTTGTGTCCCCAACAGGGAGGTCTGTGGAGGTGAGCCGAGGGTCTCTGACCTGGCTGCAAGCTGACTGCGTGTTCCCTTGACCTTGATGAAGATCTAGGAGGCTTGCTCAGCAGTGGGGCGTTACCTCTGAGCTGGAGCCTGTGGGGAAGCAGGAGGGGGAATGCACCCTGGGGGACAGAGACGTCTGTGGCCAGGGGTCCTGCTGAGTGGGCATGTGCAGATGTGCAGAGTGGCCTGTGGGAAGGGCCCTGGGCTTTTCCCGTGACCAGAGAGCTGCTTGTGGTTGGACTAGCCCAGGGCTACATCAGCATGAGGGCATCCAAATGCATGGTGCAGGGGTCCCCATTCGTGGCTGGCCTGCCAGGACTTTGGGGTTTGTCTGTCATGGGGGGCCTGGGAATGCCCAGTGTCTGGTCAGAGAGTTAGGCAGAGCTGGCCCAGTGGCCTGAGGCAGCAAGAAAGCATGGGGCTTTAAGCCTCGGGCCATTACAGCAGCAGGAGAGGATGGTGCCTGGTGATTGGGTGGCCTGAGGAGGGCTCTGGGCACGAAGGGGCTGTATTAGGCCAGGCCAGGCCTCCACAGTGGGGGAGGGAACCCTGAGGCCTGCGGGCTTTGCCAGGTGAGAGCCCGGCCCCTCTGGCTCCAGGGGAAGGCTGAACGTGCTGGCCAACGTGATCCGCAAGGACCTGGAGCAGATCTTCTGCCAGTTTGACCCCAAGCTGGAGGCGGCGGACGAGGTGGGTGCCATGCCCAGGTCCCGGCACCCTTGGAGAGCTGGGTGTTTGGGAGGTGGACTGTGGAGGGGCTGAGCCGGGAGCTTCCGGGCTGAGATAAACCTTAAGATGGATGCATTGGAGAAGCCTGCAGGAGAGAGGCTGGGTGTTTGCCTGAGGACCCTAAGGCTTTTTGGAGCAAGGGCTGCAGTCTCTGGTAGCTGGGAGGGCCCTCAGATAATCTGGGTCAACCTCCCTGTTTTGAGCTAGGGAAACTGAAGCCCAAAGATGCAAAGGCTTGCTGGAAGTTGCTCAGTTCTGCTCATGTGGCTGTGCCTCCATGTCCAAAGTCCTGTCCACCAGCCAGGAATGACTCCCTTGCTCATTTGTTTGCCCAGCAGAGCCTTGGGAGGTGAGGATGGTTTTCCGTACCCATCGACCTGCTGAGGAAATGTTGTTCCTGCTCCCACCCCCTCCCTGGGAGGCCTGGGCCAGGCCTTCAGCCCATACTGCCTAGCCTCTTTCTTTCCTTTTCTTTTTGAGATGGGGTTTTGCTCTTGTTGCCCAGGCTGGAGTGCAATGGCATGATCTTGGCTCACTGCAACCTCTGCCTCCTGGGTTCAAGCGATTCTCCTGCCTCAACCTTCCAAGCAGCTGGGATTACAGGCATGCGCCACCACGCCCGGCTAATTTTTGTATTTTTAGTAGAGATGGGGTTTTGCCATGTTGGTCAGGCTGGTCTTGAACTCCTGGCCTCAGGTGATCTGCCTGCCTCGGCCTCCCAAAGTGCTGGGATTACAGGCATGGAGCCACCGCTTCCGGCCACTGCCTAGCCTCTTTCAAAGTCCTGCCCATCTTCCCTTTCGGTGGCTCTCTGGGTCCCCTGGGCAGTGAGCCTGTCACTCCCTCCTCTGTGTCCCTTTGCCCTCAGGACTATCTCTCCTGCTGTCTCCAGCCTGCTGCCGTGTGTGTGTGTGTGTGTGTGTGTGTGTGTGTGTGTGTGTGTGGACCCATACCTACTGGCTCCTATCCCAGGTCTTTCTGACATCCTGTTCCTTTTGTTCTAGCACCTTCAGCCTTCTAAGCCTCACTTTGCTCTTCCATAAAACAGGGATAAAAGCGCATGCCCGAGAATGGTTGCAATGAGTCAAAGATGACCTGTGTGTATAGTGGAAAACTTGGCCAAAGGATGTTTAAAATGAAATTACTATTTTTTTTCAACTGAAAAAGAAATTTGATCATTGTGAAAACAACAAAACAGAACAAAGCTTATACAATGAGAATATGTTCCTCAGTGAGACTCCATTCTTGTGGCCAATTTTGTTTGTGTGCTTCTGTTGTGTTTAGGTGTGTACTTCTAGAAACATTTCATGCTGATACAAACAAACCTCTTTTTCCAGTGCAACCTTATTTCTAAGAGGCCATGGGCATAGCCGTGACACCGGGTGGCACCTTGCTGTTTTCACTTAACAAGTTGTCATTGTTTCCTGCCTGCACACATGGGCTACCCCAGGCTTCTTACAGCTAAAGCATCCCTTGTGCTGGACATTGGGTTGTTCTCATGAGGGTCCTTGCACATGTGTGAGCGAGTTTATCTGTTAGATGGTGTCCGAGCAGTGCAGCGGCTGGAGCTACGGGGGTGGGACTGAACGACCCTCCCAGGAGCTGGCAGATGTCAGCGAGCCCATCCACAGTGTGTGATGGTGCCAGAGCCCCCACCCCACTTCCTCCTACACGCTCTCGAATCCTTTCATCTTTGCCGATATAATAGGTTCAAAAGAGGATTTTGTTGTAATGCATTTCTTTGTTATGAATTCAGTTGCTTATCTTTTCACATGCTTTTGAGCCATTCATATTTTTCTGTAAATTCCTGCTTGTGGCTTTTGCTCATTTTCCTATGGAGTTTTTGGGCTTTATCTTCCTGATTTGTAAAAGCGTTTTGTACATTGAGGGAATTTGCCCTTTGCCTGCATTTGTTTATGAATATTTTTCTCAGCTTGATTTGTTTCCCCTATCGCTGGGCGTGGGTTTGCTCCCCCATGGCAAATTTGCTAGAATTTAGGTGTCTTTTGTGTTTTCTGGTGTTAGGATATTGTGTAGAATGCTGTAAGTCTTCCTTGCTTCAGGGTCATAAAATGTTGTGTGTTCCTCATTGCTACCATTGGTGTGAGGAGTCAGGGGATTCAGCTTCAGTGTTTGCTGGTGGCCTGGCCGAGGGTCTCTGCGCTGATGCCTAGGCACTGCCCTTCTCTCCCTGCCTTCCCCACCGCTGGATGGCCTTCCCCACTCTTGTGCTCTCCTGCTCCATGGTCAGTGTACAGAGAGGCTCTGAGCCAAGGCCTGGGGTCCCTGCCTTCCTCCCTCAGGCCAGTGAGGAGGGGCAGTGTGATGAGGAGAGAGGGGTCAGAGACAGCTTGGCCCTCTGAGGCAGTGGGATCGGGGGAATGTGCCAGCCTGACTGTGGGCTGCAGTGCCTGCCTGTGTATCTGCCTGTCTGATGTGGGAGGGGAGGATCCATCATGTTCCCATCTCCACCTTCAGGGCTCCGGGGATGTCAAGTACCACCTGGGCATGTACCATGAGAGGATCAACCGCGTCACCAACCGGAACATCACTCTGTCGCTGGTTGCCAACCCCTCCCACCTGGAGGCAGTGGACCCTGTGGTGCAGGGGAAGACAAAGGCAGAGCAGTTCTACCGTGGAGATGCCCAGGGCAAGAAGGTGAGCTCACCTGGGGGAACCCAGAGGACCTGGGCCCTTCAGGGTGGGCCCAGAGGGCTGGGCTGGACCCTGGGTCTCCACAGTACAGGTGCCGGCTGGGCTACATGGGCTGGGGCACGCAGCCCCTCCTGGCTCACACCTGCCCTGCAGGTCATGTCCATCCTGGTTCATGGGGACGCCGCCTTTGCTGGCCAGGGCGTGGTATATGAGACCTTCCACCTGAGCGACCTGCCCTCCTACACGACCAATGGTACCGTGCACGTCGTCGTCAACAACCAGGTGAGCATGTAGGCTCCACGCTGGGCCTCACAGCGTCAGCATCCCTGGAAATCCAGGCAGTAGCTTGCGGGGAAAGTGAGATGCTCCTGGCTCTGAGCCCACTGCTGTGCTGCTTACCAGGCAGGACCCTGCTCTTTCCAGCCTTGGTGTCCTGGTCTGTGAAATTGGAAGACACAATAGGGAGGGATAAGTAGGGCTGGAAGGACCAAAGGAGCACCTGTGTAGCGAGTGCCTCATGGAGGCTGGCCGTGTGCAGCCCCACATGGGCAATCTTAGACACAGGGACCTTGGTGCCCTTTCTCTAAGGCAGCTGAGCTTCTAACAGCTCATATGGAGTCTAGAAAGCCCTGTGTTCACTGCCTTGTTTGCATTAAGTCACGTCATCGTCCTTGAACATCCTGTGAGGTGGGAATTTAAGTGACCCCTTTTTATAGATGAGGAAACAGGCTGTGGGTATGTAAGCACCTTGCCCCAGGTTGCAGTTAGCCGTTGTTAGGACTGGATTTTCCAGGCCTATGTTCCTCACTACCAGTGTGTCAAAGTGACTGGCGAAAAAGAGCAGGCTCCACCCGGCTGGTGCTGCTGCCGTCCCCGTGGGAGCTGTTGCCGTGTCTAATTGTGGGGCTGCTCACCATCACCCTGTTGTGTCCCACATTCCTCCTGGGCACCTCAGTGGACCTTGAGCATCCCCCTGCTCAGTCTCCAAGGCTGGCACCTTCTATCTCACTCTAAGTAAATTGAGAGGCGCAGCAGGTTTCTCCTGCCTCTGCAGATTGGATTCACCACAGACCCCCGAATGGCCCGCTCCTCACCATACCCGACCGACGTGGCCCGGGTGGTCAATGCGCCTATCTTCCATGTGAATGCCGATGACCCAGAGGCTGTGATATATGTGTGCAGTGTGGCAGCCGAATGGAGAAACACTTTCAACAAAGATGTTGTCGTGGACCTGGTGGGTCTGGGGACTGAGGCCAAGGCATGGGTGGGTGGCCCATCCCTGCTGTGCTGAGCCAGCCATGTCATCAGCATCTTCAGCACTCAGGGCTGGGAGTGCTTCTTGGATGAGAGATTTATGCCACCAAGAGCAATCTGTGCAAAGGCCTGGGACGGGACATTCATTCGGTGATAGGTGATAGTGGAGCTCAAAGGGCTCCCAGTGGGTGTGCCCTACCCAGATATTCCCCAATTTTGCAGCAGCTACATTGACCACACAGCGTAGGGAAGGGCCTGAGCCCCTCTGGCTGCTCCTGCAGGTCTGTTACCGCCGGCGTGGCCACAATGAGATGGACGAGCCCATGTTCACCCAGCCGCTCATGTACAAGCAGATCCACAGACAGGTGCCTGTGCTGAAGAAGTACGCAGACAAGCTGATTGCCGAGGGCACAGTCACCCTGCAGGAGTTTGAGGTGGGCAGGCAGGCTGCAGGGGCGCCCAAGACAAACTTTGGGTGGGGACCCTGGAGAGGGGTTGTAGATGTTACCAGCCCAGTGCTGGGCACTAAGGATTTAAAGAAGTAGCCACTATGGTCCTTGTCCCCAAGAGGCCCCAGTTACCAAAGGGGACCAAGAACTAAGGATGCAGTTACAGCCAAGTGGGACACAGTGGGTACTGCAATGTGGGGGAAGTCCAGCCTTGAGCAGGAGTGCGGGAAGGCTTCCTGTAGGAGGCAGCCCTGAGCTGGGGTTGTCCCCATAATTATCTATGGAGTGTTCGTCCTTCCACCTTCATGGAGCTCTGAGGGCAAGGACTACAAGTTTCCAGAGCCTTCTCCAAGCCCCTTGCTGAGCGCACTGCAGGCCTGCCCAGCCTCGGGGTACCTGTACAGGATCCCCTGAACTCTGAGACTTTGGCTTCTAGCCATGAGGTCCCTATAGGCCAGAGACAGAGAGTTCTAGAAGAACTTGGTGATGGGGACCAGGACTTACGAGTCCAAGTGGACTGGGCGTCTGGCTGCGCAGGGCTTTGGTGCTCTGTCCACATCTTCATCCTGATTCCAGGAAGAAATTGCCAAATACGACCGGATCTGTGAGGAGGCTTATGGCAGGTCCAAGGATAAAAAGATTCTGCATATAAAGCACTGGTTGGACTCCCCCTGGCCTGGTGAGCGAGCAGTGTGTGGCTCAGAGGGACTCCCCTGGGCCTTGAGGTCTTGCACTGGGATCAGGACTGGAATGGCCCTGGGTGACAGCTGTCATTGCCTAGTCTAGAGGCTGCAGGCTCTATCACTGAGTCCCCAAAGCTGCGTGGGGCCGATTCCTGCAAGTCAAGGATAGCATTGCCCTCTGAGCATGGATGGCCAGGTGCTCACTGAAAAGGGAGGGCATAGCCAGGTGGGAGAGGAAGCCCTGGGCACTGGATGCTTGGGGCCAGGGTGCTCAGAGGGCCTCCCTGGGGGGCAGGGTTAGAAGAGCTGTTACCCTGGGGCCCAGAGGTGGGTGTTGGGCCTGTGGGGGAGTTGCAGCTGTGGCTGTCCAGCTGTCCCAGGTCCCAAGGGTGGGCTCAGGGTGAGTCCGAGTGCCGGTGGAGTTTGGGAAGCCATGGGCCACTCAGTCCTGGGGAGGCAGGCTGGCCAGGGGGATCAGAACCCACCACTGACACAGTGTGGACAGAGCCTCTCTCCCTCTCAGGCTTCTTCAACGTAGATGGGGAGCCCAAGAGCATGACATGCCCAGCCACGGGGATCCCTGAGGACATGCTCACCCACATCGGCAGTGTGGCCAGCTCTGTGCCCCTGGAGGACTTTAAGATCCACACTGGTGAGGTTGCTGGACAGGCTGCAGCCCAGGCTGCTGGCCCCACCCCAACACTGTGCCTCGAAGGGAGATTGGTTGGGATGCAAGAGAGATGGTGTGTCGCATTCCTGCTCAGTCTGTAGTGGGTCCACGTAGCTCTCGGCACCATGTCTGTGCCCGTGACAGTAGCTCTTTTCAGGGTGGGCGTGGCGAGCTGGGCAGCTCCAGATGCCACACTCCCAGCTGGGTACCAGTGACTAGTCTTAGGTTGGGGACCTTGGATTTTCCAAATGCCTTTGCCGGGGCGTCCCTGGGTCAGGCAGAAGAGCAGGAAAGCAAGGGCTCCCATACAGGGGCTGGAACGCAGCCTGGAACGTGGGCAGAATTCTGCAGCTGAAAGGACGGTGGCTTGCCGGGGCCTGGACCAATGACCGAGGGCAGCCCCCCCACTCCGGGGTGAGACTAGAATGTGGGTGGTCACCGACTGCATCCCTTGGCTGGGGCCACTGTGACCTTTGCCTGGGAAGTCCGGAGGGTCCCCTGTGGCTGTATTGGGGTGCCTACACACCCTCTGACCCACCTGGGGGAGTTCTGAGGGGGTTCCCTTACAGTGTGCACCGAGACCGAATGTCCTGGGGCAGCTGCTGACAGCGTTTGGGGCATGTGCCCGCTCTGTTTGTGTGTTAGCCTCTGTGTGTGGGGCTGACAGGAGCACAGCATAAGCCTGGGGACTTGGAGTCAAATCCGTGTACCTTGACAGCTGTGTGATCTGAGTAAATGACTCTGAGCCTGACGGTGTCTGCAACGTGGCCAATGCTTGCCAAGTGGTACCTGCTCCACCCCTCCACAGGCTCGGGGTAGCCCCTTGTCTCAGCTGGAGGAGGGGTGCCTGGCCCTGGGCCCTCCTGCAGCATCCCTGCCCTCCAACCAAATCAACAGATGGCTGCCCTGCTTTGTGCGGGGTGTGTGCTGAGCACCTACCTACCCGCCCCAGGGCTGGCTGTCCCTTGGCCCTCAGGCCAGCACTCCTTTCCCACAGGCCTCTCTCGCATTCTGCGGGGCCGTGCGGACATGACCAAGAACCGGACGGTGGACTGGGCGTTGGCAGAGTACATGGCCTTTGGCTCCCTGCTGAAGGAAGGCATCCACGTGCGGCTCAGCGGGCAGGATGTGGAGAGGGGCACATTCAGGTGAGCGCAGTGGGGCTCAGCATCCGCACAGGAGACCTGGAGCAGAAGCTGGGCCTGGCTTGGGGATCCCGAGGGGGCCTTTGTTGGGGTGGGATCTTCACAGCATCCCTAGCCCCTGCCCTCAGGTGGCATCATCAGATGGCCACCTCGCTGACCCCCCAGGGCAAGTGTGCAGAGCTCACTGCTGGGCCCAAGCTGTCCACTAAGGTCAAGCTGGTGGCCATCTGTGGTCCTCAGGATCATGTGTGTGTGGGGGGTGTGTGGTGAGTGTGGGCGAGTTGTGTGTGGTGTGTGTGTGTGGTGTGTTTGGTGTGTATGTGGTGTGTGGTATGTGGTGAGTGGGGGGAGTGTATAGGGGGTGTGTGTGGTGCGTGTGTGTGGTGTGTTTGTTGTATGTGTGGTGTGTATGTGTGTATGGTGTGTGTGGTGTGTGTGGGGGTGTGGTGTGTATTTGTGGGTGTGTGGTGTGTTGTGTGGTGCATGTGTGGTGTGTGTCGTGTGTGGTGTTTGTGGTGGGTGTGGTGCATTTGTGGTGTGTGTGGTGTGTGTTGTGTGTTGAGTGTGTATGGGGTATGTGTGGTGTATGTGTGGTGTGTGCGTGTGTGGTTTGTGGGGGTGTGCGTATGTGTGTGGGGTGTGTATAGTGTGTGTGGGGCGTGTATGGTGTGTGTGATGTGTGTGTATGTTTGGTGTGTGTGTAGGGTGTGTATGTGTGTAATGTGTGTGAGGGTGTTTGTGTGGTATGTGTGGGGTGTGTGGTGTGTAGTGTGGTGTGCGTGTGATATGTGTGGTATGTGTCATGTTTGGTGCATGTGTGGTGTGGTATTTGTGGGGTGTGTGTGGTTGTGTGTGTGTAGTGTATGTAGTGTGTGTGGTGTGTGTGATTGTGTTTGTGGTGTGTAGTCTGTGTGGTGTGTGTGTTGTGTGGTATGTGTGGTGTGTGTGGTATGTGTGGTGTGTGTAGTGTGTGTGGTGTTTGGTGTGTGTGCATGGATGTGTGTGGTGTATATGTGTGTGGTGTGTTTTGCATGTATGTGTGGTATGTGTGATGTGTGTGTATGTGGTGTTTGGTGTGTGTGGTGTGTGTATGTATGTGTGTGGTGTGTGTGTATGTATGTGTTTGGTGTGTGGGGATGTGTATGTGTGTGTGGTATGTGTGGCATGTGTATGTATGTGTGTGGTGTGTGTGTGTACTGCTGTTAAGTCAGCCCCTATCTTGCTTGTTTGCAGTTGTCTTTGTGAATCCAAATGGGGACTTGACACTTGTCAGTTGTCCACACCACATTTCCTCTGGTTCGGGTTCCTAAAATGTTCTAGATCCTGCCTCAGTCCGCTCCTGGTTAGCAAGCCAGGGTGGTGTGGCTTCCAGGACTTGACCAGCTGGCTTTCTCATTCCTGGTTGCTTATCTCGGCTGGTCTTGCTCCAGCCAGGGCCCAGGTGGCCCTCTGATGCACCCAGAGCTACCTGTCAGTCCTTGCCAGGGACTGGGGTTCAGCCAGGCGCCCCTCACTTACTGTGCCCACCTCGGCTACTGCACGGTGGTTTCTGCCTCTTGTGAGTTGGGACAGGGCTGGTGAGATGGTAAAGAAGCCAGCAAGACGGGGCAGGGGAAGTGGCCTCCTAGGGTCTCTGGCTCTAGCTGGCACCTGGGAAGTGTCTTATCAGGTCCCCTTTATGGGTGAAAAGCTGACATTCAGAGAGGTGCCACAACTCACAGCTCCTTCCCCCAGACCCCCCAGTGCGTGGTGTGTGGGCGCTGCTAGCAGGCAGGGGGCAGGCTGGGGAGGCCTGGTGGGGGACAGGCTGCAGGAGGGACCACATGGCTCTGGTTTTCCACAGCCTTCTTGGATGCCATGTTGTGGGACCCTGCAGGTTTCCTGGGACAGTGACGGAGGCTTGCCTGCCTCCTGCTGCCCAGCTCCCCTGCTCCAGGTGAACAGGTGCCAGCCCACCTGCCCTCTGTCCCTGCCCCGGTCTGTGTCTCTGCAGTCACCGGCACCATGTTCTCCATGACCAGGAGGTTGACCGCAGGACGTGTGTGCCTATGAATCATCTCTGGCCTGACCAGGCCCCGTACACCGTGTGCAACAGCTCCCTCTCGGAGTACGGAGTCCTGGGTGGGTCCACGCTCTCCTGCAGGCCAGGCAGGCCCCAGACACCTGGGGACAAGAGATGGGCTGGGAAGGGACCGGGGCCAGGGCCTGGGAGGGGCGAGAGATGCTCAGAGGCCCTTAGGGGATGGCCCTGGGGGATGGTGATTGGGCTGCCCTCACCTAAGGCCATGTGGGAGGTGAAATCGTGTCCCATCTGGGCCCCTTGGGGATCCCAGTTGGGGGGACCTCCTTGCCTTGAGGGGTTTTGTGGGTATCAGGGCCCCAGTGGGCGCAGACAGAGAGCCCAACACAGTCTGCTGTGGGTTCCAGCTGCTGAGCAGTCCAGTCTTGGCCCAGCCCTCTCACATTCCTTTGAGCCCCATCTTGCCTCCTCTGCCCTGCACCCTAGGAACACTGCACTGAGATCCCTTCTCTGGGCTCTGGGCTTCCCTGCCTGTGTCCCCTGTGCATGCTCTCCCTCAGATGCATCATTAGCTGGCTCACCTCGTCCTCACTGCCTGCCCCTAGAGGCCAGGCAGCCCCCCGCCCCCAGGCAGATGCCTCTAGGGCTGTTTCTGCCCCTTCTCCTTAGCAGCTCTGCATGTTTTTAAGGAGTTCTTGACAGATGGTCCCTGTTGCCTCCCCAGGATACCTAAATAAGGTTGAACCTGACCACACATGATAGCAGGGCTGAGGGTAGCATCTCTGAGCATGTTGTCAGCCCCCAGGATGGTACATTGTACCCTTTGAATCCCAGGGAATCCCTGGGTTCGTCCTGGCTTGTGAGAAGGATGGGTGGGGGCATGGAGGATATACTGAGAAAGGCTAAATTTGACTGGAGCCACTGCCACTTGGTGACTGTGTGCAGCAAGCTCTATCTTGTCTTCTGTTTAGGCTTTGAGCTGGGCTATGCCATGGCCAGCCCCAATGCCCTGGTCCTCTGGGAGGCCCAGTTTGGGGACTTCCACAACACGGCCCAGTGCATCATCGACCAGTTCATCAGCACCGGCCAGGCCAAGTGGGTGCGGCATAATGGCATTGTGCTGCTGCTGCCCCATGGCATGGAAGGCATGGTGAGGGCTGCGGTGGTGGCTGGTGGCTTGGTGGGTTCTGGCGGGCCTTGAAGGGGCGGGATGGACCCTGGGCCCCTTGTCGGGTTGGACGGTATATGCCTTCCAGGCCCCTGGAGCACGTGGGTCTGTGCAGGGTGGGGTCTGCACATGTGCATGCTGCAGCTGCTGAGACGATGATGCTACCCCTGGCAGCAGAAGGCGCTACCACGTATGAGTGCTTGCTGTGCGCCAGGCACTGTTCAATGCTTCTGAATGTTAACTCTTCCAATCCATACAACTTAATGAAGTAGGCTGTGTTCCTGCTTTTCAGATGAGGAAACAGAGGCACAGAGCTGGGGAGTAGGTTGCCCAAGGTTTCACAGCTAGTAGCTGGGGTTTGAAGCTATCCTGTGCAGTACTGCCTGTTCTCTGGTCCCCTCCTGTATGACCTGCCTCTGCAGCCACACATGGGGCAGAGGGAAGACATGCAGGCTGGGTGCATCCTCCGGAGGCTCCTGGGCTAGCAGGAAGGGAGGAAGGAGCAGGGTGTCATGTGATACCATCTGGTGGGCAGGTGGCCTGACCAGGCAGAAGGGAGACAGGCAGGGGGCTCATTGCCACCATTATCCCTGAGTGGCATGTTATGAGCACTTTACAGGCTGCATACTCGGCATCCTCACAACACCGGGTATCAGTGAGGAGGGAGGTGAGGCTCCCTGCTTGGGGCTGCCTGCCGTGAAGGCAGCTTCTTGGGAGGCCAGATCTGGGCCAGGCTGGGTGTGGGGGGCTGGGTCCTTGGCCGTCCCCACCAAGAGAGGGCAAGTGGCAGCTGTGCAGTGGGTCATCCCCGTCCTGCAGGAGCTGGCTTGGAGATGCCCCTGGGCTTGTCTTGCTGCTTTCATGGAGCAGAGCGGTCCGTGTGGGTGAGGGTGGGCGAGGCCCAGGCCGAGTTGGGTTGGCCCCTGCCTGGCTGTGTGGTCATGGGTGGTTTCTTACCCTCTCCTTGCCTCTTCATCTGTGCAGTGGGGAAGAGTGTCTGCATCATGGGGCTACTTTGGGGGTTAGCGATAAGGCGTGTGGGATTCCTAGAACTCTGCCTCCTGTACAGCAGGTGCTCAGTCAGTGGCAGCCACTGTTCCAGGACATTCCAGAGAAAGCACGTCTCAGTGCGGGCTTTTTGCTTTTTCTTCTGTCCCTGCAAGTTCACATACTGTGCTAGCTCTGGGCAGACCCCACTCTGAGGATTCCCATTCTGCTCTTGTTCCACATTCTTGGTTCTTTTCTATGGTTCAGGCTCCAGGGTGAGGGCACCTCTGCTGAGAAGCCCTCCAGACTTTCCCCTGAGCCTGGGGTCCCTGCAGGGCCAGATGTCTTTCCCATGGTGGGGTCCAGCCTTGGCTGTCTGGCGTTTGCTTTCAGGGCCCAGAGCACTCGTCAGCGAGGCCCGAAAGGTTCCTGCAGATGAGCAATGATGACTCGGATGCCTACCCTGTGAGTGTTGCTGCTGTCCCCAGGACAGGGACGCGCCCTATTGTGCCCACAGGGCTAGGGGTCCAGGGTGTGGGTGCAGCAGACAGCCACCCTGGCCATATGCATCTCGTCCCCACAGGCATTCACCAAGGACTTCGAGGTGAGCCAGCTCTATGACTGCAACTGGATCGTGGTCAACTGCTCCACACCGGCCAACTACTTCCACGTGCTGCGCCGGCAGATCCTGCTGCCCTTCCGCAAGCCGGTGAGTCTCCGTCCCAGGGCAGGGGTCACAGGCAGGGGGCCTGGCCAGGCAGGGCCAGCTGGCAGCTGGGCGTGTATTTCCCTTCCAGCTGATTATCTTCACACCTAAATCTCTGCTGAGGCACCCAGAGGCCAAGTCCAGCTTTGACCAAATGGTATCCGGTACGTGCCTGGCCTGGGTGTGTGGGGTAGCCCACAATGGGGCGGTGGCCCATTGTGTGGCTTCTGCTTCTGGGGCTTCTCCAACCTCCCCTCTGCCTGTGGCTCTGCTGACCTGCAGCAGCTCCTGGCATGGTCCCACTAGCAGTAGGGTTGGGAGGTTGGCACAATGGCTGACCTGGGCCAGCTCAGGTCATGTGGGTTGCGTCCATGGTAGAGTCCACTGGGGCCCCCTTAGACCCTAGCAGGGCTGGTCGAGGCCTGGCAGAGGCCTGCTGAGTTCGCAAGATATTGAGTATCATTCATTCATTTGTCCATTTTAAAAATTCATGAGCCAAACAGACATTACAGGCCCTGGGGTCCTGGTGTCCCCTCCAGGAGTCTTTGGCCTTATTTCCCTGGGAGTCAGATCAGATAAAACACTATAGTTGCAACTGAGAGGTGACTATGTCCAGGGAAGGACAGGTGTGAGGCTGGTGGAGCAGAGCTGTCTTGGAAAATGGTCCTGGGCAGTAGAGGGAGGGCTGGGAAGGGCCTCAGCATGGACAGGGGTTGGATTTTCTCCCATGTGTGTTTGGATGTCCCCTCTGTGCAGGTGGGCAGCTGTTAGAGCTCTGATGTCGGGACTGGACTACCTGGGCTACCTGCCCTGTGCTGGCTTCTCTCTTGAGGGCCTGGGATCCATTTGTCCTCTCTACCCCAGAGTCTTCACCTGAGATGCAGGGATGTGAGGACACTACAGTAGCTTCCTGAGAGGTTTTGCAGTGTGCGTGACCTGGGGTCAGGATCATGGGCTCAGGAAGGAAGAATGGTTGGGGCTTGGAGGTGAAGCTCAGCTGCCAGGCTGAAAGAGGAGGAGCATGCAGCAGCCTCCTGGGACATCTGCTTAGTGGTGGGGGACTGCAGTGCTCTGCAGGAGGTGGGCGCAGCTGGGCAGAAGCAAGGTTGGGGCAAAGGATGATGCCATCATGTTGCCTTCTCTGTCTCCTTCAGGGCGCTTCTTATTGTACCCCCACCTCCGGTCACCTTAAACGTGATGCTTCCAGGGCTCAACCCTTGGGTGTCTCCACCCCTCTCCCTATGACAGCTCAGGGTGTCATCTGCCCCCTGCTCCATCTTTTAGTTCAAGAGGTGTCCACTGCAGCCACAAGTCCAAACCTGCAGTTAGTGTCAGTGGCTAAGGAGAGCCTGGGGATGCAGGCCTGGTCCTGAGCTGCCCCAGCCCCTCTGGGTACCAACGCCTCTGCCATGTCCTGTTGGTCCCTCAGGGACCAGCTTCCAGCGGGTGATTCCTGAAGATGGGGCCGCAGCACGGGCCCCTGAGCAGGTGCAGCGGCTCATCTTCTGCACGGGAAAGGTGTACTATGACCTGGTGAAGGAGCGGAGCAGCCAGGACCTGGAGGAGAAAGTGGCCATCACGCGCCTGGAGCAGGTGTGCCTGAACCCCTTGTACAGTCAAGTGATGGGCAAGCTCACGTCGCTGGCCCCGGCTCTGGCCAATGTGCCAGGCAGGCCAGATGAAGGCCGGTGAGGCCCTGTGCCTCCTGTCCGGGGGTGCTGGGGACATACCGCCCCTCCTCTGGCTATGCTCCTTTGTTTCTGCCTCCCCAGATCTCTCCATTCCCCTTCGACCTGATCAAGCAGGAGGCAGAGAAGTACCCAGGTGCGGAGCTGGCCTGGTGTCAGGAGGAGCACAAGAACATGGGCTACTATGACTACATCAGCCCACGCTTCATGACCATCCTGAGGCGCGCACGGCCCATATGGTACATGGTGGGGCCGCTGATTGCCCCTCACCTCGGCCCTGAGGCTCTGTCCTGGCTCCATCTGTCCCATAGGCCATGCTACCCAGAACTGGCCCTGCCCTTCTCTGGTGATGAGCAATGATGGGGCATCATCAGTACTGGCTTTGTGTTTGTTCTGCAGCCAGAACTGTATTAAGGAACCTGCTACATGTCTCAAAACTCCTGCCTTAGATCTTAGGCCGGTTATGTAGTCCTTGGAGCCTTAGTCCCTGCATCTCTACAAAGGGCGGTGATAAGATTAGATCTGATGTATGTATTAGCTCTGGCACATGGTGCGTTCCCAATACTGGCATCATGTGTTCCTGGGAAGATGGGAGAGGGTCCTGAGAAACTCCAAGAAGCCAAAAGTATGTTTGTCCCCAAAGTCTTTGAGTTGTTGCCTCATTTGTTGTCCTCATGGGCAAGTGCAGTGACATGGAGGGACAGTTTCTCCCCACTCTTCTGTGGCTAGGTGACTGAGTTTGATCCGGGCTTTGCAGCTCATTGGAAGTGGTGCCAGGGCCAAAAGGCAGGGTCTATGGCTTCGAGGTCAGCGGTTCTCAGATGCGTGCCCCCTGCAGTCCCGGAGTGAGGGCAGCGGTTGGGGGGCGGCTAGGCCCCGCCTTCCCCTTAGCTTGTCTCTCCTCCTCCAGGTATGTTGGCCGGGACCCAGCGGCTGCACCAGCCACAGGAAACAGGAACACTCACCTGGTGTCACTGAAGAAGTTTCTGGATACTGCCTTCAATCTCCAGGCCTTTGAGGGCAAGACATTTTAGAGCTGGGCAAAACCTGTGTAGGTCTCGCTGTGGGTTTGCTGGGGACCAAGGGGGTGATGAAAAGGGGAGGGGCGGAGCTCCTGCCCAGGAGAGGGGCTGTGGGGCCCCAGGATAAAACAGACACAGTGACAGGGCCAAGAGCCAGCACTGCTGGCCTTGGTGTCATGCCAGAATCTACCAGGACTGAGGGAGCCAGAGGAGTCCTATAGGCAGGCTACTGTGCTGGAGCATCCCCCAGCTGCTCCCATCTTGCTGGAATTTCTTGGGCGGCTTCTCCACCTGTATCTCAAGACAGACACCCGGGGGCCTGTGTCTGTGGCCGCTCCCATCCCGGCAGCCCTGGCTGCTGCTCGCCCCACCCTCGCTTATCTGTAGATTCAAAGCGATGTTCTCTTCTGTGCTCTTAGAAGTAGGGAGTTCAGCAGTAACAGCCAGGTGAAGCGAACCTGCTGGGTGATTTGTTTGCGCTCTGTTTTATGGGGCATTCCTGCGAGATGTGTCAGCTTCTGTGTGAAATGCAGCCACAGCTCATGTGTACCAAAGTAGAAAACCAAATCACAGAGAAATAAAAACATGCTTCAGAGAGATTTGCTGTTTTCATTTCATGTTGTAAAACTGGGGGAGGGATAGGCAGTTGAGAGAAGGTAGGGAATGGGGAGAAAGTTAAAAAAATGGAGAGAAGAAAATATCTGCCTCCATGGATATTTTTTTGAGACGGAGTTTGGCTCTTGTCACCCAGGCTGGAGTGGAGTGGTGCGATCTTGGCTCACTGCAACCTCCGCCTCCCAGATTCAAGTGATTCTCTTGCCTCAGCCTCCTGAGTAGCTGGGATTACAGGCATGCGCCACTATGCCCGGCTAATTTTTTTGTATTATTAATAGACGGGGTTTCACCATGTTGGCCAGGCTGGTCTCAAACTCCTGACCTCAAGTGATCCGCCTGCCTTGGCCTCCCAAAGTGCTGGGATGACAGGTGTGAGCCACTACGCCAGATTTTCATTTGAGCACCAGGTAGTGTCTGTTGGCTTCTCCACTCTGGCCTTTTGTGGGTTTTGCTTCCCTGTGGAGATACTGGAGAAGCTGCCACAGAGGAGGGATGTTTTGCTTGGAACAGATCATGTGTTCATTTATCCCCTTCTCAGAGCACTTCCTCCGTGCGGGACACTAGGGCCCGGGTGGAAGGCATCTGTCTGCATGCTGGCTTTTCGCATCGGGAGTCCAGTGGGGAGACATGTCAGCTGTTTAATTCATTGAGTTACGAGTTATGTTGGAAGTCAATGCAGACAGCTGTGGGTGTCAGGGAAGGATCCCTGGAAGAGGTGGTGTTCAAAGGAAGAGGAAAAGAGAGATGAACCTCTCTGGAACAGACAGAAATACTGACCATAGGGCTGGCATGAGCAACCTAAAAGAACGATCAGCGTGAGGTTGGACAGTGGAGTGTTAAGTTTTATCAGCCTCAAAAATAGCTTGTTGAAAAATTAGCTGGGCATGGTGACACGTGCCTGTAATCCCAGCTACTCAGGAGGCTGAGGCAGGAGAATTGCTTGAAACTGGGAGGCGGAGGTTGCTTTGAGCCAAGATCGTGCCACTGCACTCCAGCCTGGGTGACAGAGCAACTCTGTTTCAAAAAAAAAAAAACAGAGTATGTCTTGTTGAGATATACTTTGAATCCTACCACAGGGACATTCAAAGTGACATAAAGTGAAAAGAATTGTAGCCCCCATTTATAGTGTCTGTCGTGTCTTGGGCCTTCTGCTGGATGTTTTGCGTGTGTAATTAAACGCTGTCTAATCTTCACCATGGCTTTGCATGTTGGGAATATTTCCATTTTATAGACGAGGAAATCGAGGTTCATATAAAGTTATTTGCCCAAGGTCACTTCCTAAGGAAGTGGTGGTTTTGGACTTCACCTCTGTCCTCAAGACCACATTGCTTCCCTTGGGGAAATCAGCTCTTCCCATACCATGCATTCCTAGCCCCACAGAAATCCACTAGTCTGGGCTTTCTCTGCGATTGGCTGAGGCAGCAACTGGTGAGGCACCTGGGCTGTGCAGGAGCCCTTGGGGATCAGATGGTGGATGTGGCCTGCCCAAGGTGCATACAGTCCCTTCCTTAGTGTGGGTACGGGAAGGCTGTAGATAGGCCAGAGGTCATCTCCTGCAGGAAGAGGTACAATCAGCCAGGCATGGTGGCTCCTAGCTATAGTCCCAGTTACTCAGGAGACTGATGCAGGAGGATCACTTGAGCCCAGGAGTTTAAGACCAGCCTGGGTAATGTAACAAGACCCTGTCTCTTTAGGAAAAAAAAAAGGGAAGAGGTGCAACCACCAGATTACCAAATTGGGGAAAACCAACCACATAAAAAACGGCTCCAAACCCTATAAACATAAGAACTAACCCTGGGATGCCGGGTGCGGTGGCTCAAGCCTGAAATCCCAGCACTTTGGGAGGCCGAGGCGGGCAGATCACCAGGTCAGGAGATCAAGACCATCCTGGCTAACACAGTGAAACCCCGTCTCTACTAAAAATACAAAAAAAAATTAGCCGGGCATGGTGGTGGGCGCCTGTAGTCCCAGCTAGTTGGGAGG
Source organism: Homo sapiens (assembly GCF_000001405.40). Taxonomy (NCBI): domain Eukaryota; kingdom Metazoa; phylum Chordata; class Mammalia; order Primates; family Hominidae; genus Homo; species Homo sapiens. The sequence goes on along the minus strand of NC_000010.11, from coordinate 49,732,641 downwards.
CTAAGGCAGGAGAATGGCGTGAACCCAGGAGGCGGAGCTTGCAGTGAGCTGAGATCACACCACTGCACTCCACCCTGGGTGATAGAGCGAGACGCCATCTCAAAAAACACAACCAAAAAAACAACTAACCCTGGGAAATAAAACAAGCTCATGGAACAAGCAGAAGGCTTTAAATGAACTGTAGTAACTTCAGAGGGCAAGGAGAATATTGCTGCTATGAAATAATAACAGACTATTTTTAAAATAATTGGATGTTAAGAAAATATGAAATTTTCCCAAAATTAAAACCTCAGTAGATAGGCTGAATAGCAGAACAAACACAGCTGAAATACAAAATAAGTTTGAAGACAAGGCCAAGGAATTCTCCAAAGAAAGTTGAACAAAGAACAAATATATATATTTTAAAATTCTTTAAAGAAACATGGAGAACACAGGAGTTTCACAATGCTGATACTGCATCTAACAGGAATCCCAGGAGGAGAAGACACAGGGGATCTTTGTGATGGAATGTCTGTCTCTTGACTGTATCAATGTCACTGTATCCTGGTTGTGATTATCCTAGAGTATTGTAAGATGTTATTATTGGAGAAAAATGGGTAAAGATTCTCTGTGATGTAGTTCTTAATGATGGCATGCAAATTTACAGTGATATCAGATACAAAAGTTTAATTAAAAAATGAGTTGTCTGCTCCCTATTGAGTTGTAAGGGTTCCTTATATACTCTGGAAACAAGTCCTTTACCACATGTATTTTGCAAATATTGTCAGTCTGTGGCTTGTATTTTAAATTTCACTAAGAGTGAAAGATTTTTATTTTCATGAAGTTCAATTTATCATTTTTAATCATTTGTGTTTGTCTGTTTGGGTTGCTATAACATAATGCCATAAACTGGGTGGCTTGTAATATTTCTCACAGTTCTGCAGGCTACGAAATCTAAGATCAAGGCACTGGCAGATCTGGTGTCTGGTAAGGGCCTGGCCTCCTCAGAGATGATGCCTTCCTGCAGTGTCCTCCATGGTAGAAGGGGCAAACAAGTCTGCCCCTGGACCTCTCTTTTAAAAAATTTTTAATTTAATTTAATTTTTTAAAATTTCAATAGGTTTTTGGGGAACAGGTGGTGTGTGGTTACATGAATTTTAGTGGTTGATTTCTGAAATTTTGGTGCACCCATCACCTGAGCAGTGTACACTGTACCCGGTGTGTAGTCTTTTATCCCTCACCCCCCCAACTCTTTCCCTTGAGTCCCCAGAGTTCATTGTATCATTCTTTATTCTTTTCTTTTTTTTTCTCACTCTATTGCGCAGGCTGGAGTGCAGTGGTGCAATCTCAGCTCACTGCAGCCTCCACCTCCCAGGTTCAAGCGATTCTCCTGCCTCAGCCTCCTGAGTAGCTGGGATTACAGGTGCACACCACCATACAAAATAATGTTTGTATTTTTAGTAGAGATGGGGTTTCACCATGCTGGTCCAGCTGGTCTTGAACTCCTGACCTCAAGTGATCTACCTGCTTTGGCTTCCCAAAGTGCTGGGATTACAGGTGTGAGCCACCATGCCCAGTTCCGTTATATCATTCTTATGCCTTTGCGTCCTCATAGCTTAGCTTCGCCTTATGAGTGAGAACATAGAATGTTTGGTTTTCCATTCCTGAGTTACTTCACTTAGAATAATGGTCTCCAATTCCATCCAGGTTGCTGCAAATGCCATTATTTCATTCCTTTTTATGGATGAGTAGTATTCCATGGTGTGTGTGTGTGTGTGTGTGTGTGTGTGTGTATTACATTTTCTTTATCCACTCGTTGGCTGATGGGCATTTGGGCTGGTTCCATATTATTGCAATTGCGAGTTGTGCTGCTATATGCATGCATATGCGATTATCTTTTTTGTATAATCACTTCTTTTCCTCTGGGTGGATACCCAGGAGTGGGATTGCTGGATCAAACCGTAGATCTACTTGTAGTTCTTTAAGGAATCTCCACACTGTTTTGCATAGTGGTTGTACTATTTACATTCCCACCAACAGTGTAAAAGTGTTTCCTTTTCACCACATCCATGCCAACACCTATCTTTTTTTTATTTTTTGATTATGGCCATTCTTGCAGGAGTAATGTGGTATTGCATTATGGTTTTGATTTGCATTTCCCTGATCATTAGTGATGTTGAGCATTTTTTCATGTTTGTTGGCCATTTGTATATCTTCTTTTGAAAATTGTCTATTCATGTCCTCCCACTTTTTGATGGGATTGTTTGTTTTTGTTTTTGCTGATTTGTTTGAGTTCCTTGTAGATTCTGGATATTAGTCCTTTGTCAAATGTATAGATTGTGAAGATTTTCTCCCACTCTGTGGGTTGTCTGTTTACTCTGCTGATTATTTCTTTTGCTGTGCAGAAGCTTTTTAGTTTAATTAAGTCTCATCTATTTATCTTTGTTTTTGTTGCATTTGCTTGTGGGTTCTTAATCATGAAGTCTTTGCCTAAGCCAGTTTCTAGAAGGGTTTTTCCAATGTTATCTTCTAGAGTTTTTATGGGTTCAGTTCTTAGATTTAAGTCTTTGATCCATCTTGAGTTGATTTTTGTATAAGGTGAGAGATGAAGATCCAGTTTCATTCTTCTACATGTGGCTTGCCAAATATCCCAACACCATTTGTTGATTAGGGTGTCCTTTCCCCACTTTGTTTTTGTTTGCTTTGTTGAAGATCAGTTGACTGTAAGTATTTGGTTTTACTTTTGGATTCTCTATTCTGTTCCATTCGTCCATAAGCCTGTTTTTGTTGTTGTTGTTTTGTTTTGTTTTTTGAGACAGGGTCTTACTCTGTCACCCAGGCTGGAGTGCAGTGGCACCATCTAGGCTCACTGCAACCTCCGCCTCCTGAATTCAAGTGATTCTCGTGCCCCAGCCCCCCAAGTAGCTGGGATTACAGATGTGTGCCACCACACCCGGCTAATTTTTGTATTTTTAGTAGAGACAGGTTTTCACCATGTTGGCCAGGCTGGTCTCAAACTCCTGGCCTCAAGTGATCTGCCCACCGCGGCCTCTCAAAGTGCTGGGATTACAGGTGTGAGCCACTGCACATGGTCTATATGCCTGTTTTTATATAAGTACCATGCTGTTTTGGTGACTACGGTCTTATGATATAGTTTGAAGTCGGATAATGTAATGCCTCCAGATTTGTTCTTTTTGCTTAGTCTTGCTTTGACTATGTGGGCTCTTTTTTGGTTCCATTCACGTTAACTTTAGGATTGTTTTTTCTTGTTCTGTGAAGACCTAGAACTTTTTTATAAGGACTAATCCTATTCATGAGGTCTCTACCTTCATGACCTAATCACCTTCCAAAGGTCCCATTTCTTCACACCATCAACTGAGGGGTCAGTATTCCAACATATGAATTTGGTGAACACAGATATTCTAGCCATCATAGTGTCCTAACTAAAAAAAAATTTAAACCTAATGTTAAGATTTTCTCTTGTATTTTCTTCTATATATTTAATAGTTTTAACTTTTTTTTTTTTTTTTTAGACGGAGTCTCACTCTGTCACCCAGGCTGGAGTGCAGTGGTGTGATCTTGGCTCACTGCAAGCTCCGCCTCCCAGGTCATGCCATTCTCCTGCCTCAGCCTCCCGAGTAGCTGGGACTACAGGTGCCCACCACCATGCCCGGCTAATTTTTTTTTTTTGTATTTTTAGTAGAGACAGGGTTTCACCATGTTAGCCAGGATGGTCTCCATCTCCTGACCTTGTGATCCGCCTGCCTCAGCCTCCCAAAGTGCTGGGATTATAGGCATGAGCCACCGTGCCCAGCCAATAGTTTTAACTTTTAAGTTTAGGTCTATAAACATACATTTTGAGTTATTTTGTATATGGTGTAAGGTGAGGGTCCAGATTTATTATTTACTGGATGATAATCAATTGACCTTGTACCATTTGTTTAAAAGACTATCCATTACTCATGGAATTAACTTGGCACCTTTGCGTACATAATATATAGTCAATTACATAGCATAAAAATGAGAAAATATGTGCAAGACCTGCACACTGAAAGTATAAAATATTACTGAGACAATTAAAGAAACTCTAATAAAGGGAGAGAGTTATACCATGTTAAGAATCAATCCTTCCCAAATTGATCTATAGATTTGACACAACCTCCATTCAAATTATATCAAACTGTTTTATAGAAATTGAGAAGTTGATTCTAAAATCTATGTGTAAGTATTTAACTAAAACAACTTTGAAAAGGAAGAACGCAGAAGACTTTCATTACCTAATTTCACAATTTATTATAAAACTACCATAAAAGCCTGATGGGATTTTGATTTGTATTGTGTATATATCAATTTCAGGAGAAATGATACCTTACAATCCAGCAATATGTTCTATACCTGCATGTATCTATATCTTTTAAAATTCTACTCAACAACATTTTACAGTTTTAATTGTATAAGAATAACATATATTTAGCTAAATTTATCCGTAAACATTTTAGTTTTTAAAGCCACCATAAATGGTATTTTTAAAATTTCAATGTCTAATTATTAATTGTTAGTGTAGTAAAATGGAATTGATTTTTACATACTGAGAACATGCTTACTAGTTCTAATGGCTTATTAAAATAGATTCCCTTGGATTTTCTACAAAGATAATCATATAATCTGCAAATAGAGTTTTATATCTTCATTTGAAATCTTTATGTATTCTGCCTATATTATTATTTTTACCTTACTGCACTGGCTAGGATCTTCTGTAATGTGTTGAATAGAAGTTGTAAGAAGTTGCCTATTCTTAGAGAAAAGCATTTAGTCTTTCATTATTAAGTATGATGTTAACCAAAGGTTTTTCTTGGATGCTCTTTATCAGGTTAAGCACAATTTTTCTATTCCTGTTTGCTGAGAGTTTTTATAAGGAACGTATGTAGGATTTTGATAAATTTGTTTCTTGTCTATTGTGATGATCATATAGTTTTTCTTTTTAGTCTTTTAATATGGTGGATTACATTGATTGACTTTTGAATATTAAATGTATTTTCCATTCCTGGGATAAACAACATGGTCATAATGTGTTACTTATTTTATATATTGATAGATTTGGTTTGCTAAAATTTTGATTAAGACTTTTACATCTATGTTTATGAGAGACATTGTTCTGTAGTTTTTTTCTTATAATGTCTTTGTCAAATTTTGATATCTGTTGGGAAGTGTTCCATCATCTCTTGTTTTCTGGAAGAGATTATGTGGACATGGCATAATTCTTCTTTAAACATTTGGTAGAGTTAACCAGTGAAGCCACTTGGGCCTGGAGTTTTCTTTGTGGAAGGGTTTTAAATAATAAATTCAATTAAAAAATAAATTTAGGGCTACTCGTATTATCTGTCTTCTCTTGAGTGAGTTTTTGCACCTGTTATGAGCTTGATTGTATCCCCTAAATTCACATGCTGAAGTCCTCACTCCCAGCATCTCAGAATGTGGCCATATTTAGAGATATGGCCTATAAAGGGATAATTCAATTAAAATGAGGTCATTAGCATGGGCCTGAATCCAAAATGACTGGCATTCTTAGAAGAAGAGAAGATTAGGACACAGACATACACAGAGGAAAGACCATGTGAATGTGAAGACACAGAGAGAGGATAGCCATCTGCAGACCAAGAAGAGAGGTCTCAGAAGAAAGCAACATTGCTGACACCTTGATCTCAATCTTCTAGTCTTCGGAATTGTGAGAAATTGTGAGGAATTATGTGGTACTTTGTTATGGCAGTCCTAGGAAACTAATACATAGTCTTTCAAAAAATTTTTCCATTTCAGTAAGTTGTTGAATTCATTAGCATAGAATTGTTCCTACTATTGCCTTATTATTCTTTCAATGTCTGTAGGCTCTGTAGTAATGGCTCTTCTCTCATTTCTGCTTTTGGCAATTTGTGTCTTCTCTTTTTTTTTCTGACATGTCTGACTAATATTTATCATTTTTTTGGCTCTTTTCAAAGAACCTACTTTGGGTCTTATTGATTTTCTCGATTTGTTTCATTTTCTATGTTACTGACTTCTGCCTTCATCTTTATTACTTTCTTCTGCTTATTTTAGGGTTCATTTGCTCTTACTTTGCTTTTCTTCTCATAAGAGTAGTCATATCCCATCAATTTCTCCCTACTTTTAGTTGATCTACAGTGCCTCAAACAGTTGTTCTTTTTACATTTTTGTCCAGATTTTTGTAAATGTTATCAGCAGGAGGGTTAATCTGACACAAATTCCTCTTTCATTACCAGAAGCTGTTCCCTACAACCACCATCTTTGAAGGAAGATTTGGCAATATGTATTAAAAATTTAAATACCTCCATTTCTTGGTTTCTGTCCTAGAGATATTCTTATACATGTGTATACAGAAATGAGTACAAAGATTTTTCATTTCAGCATTATTCAAAATAGTGAATTAATAAGTCCCTAAATGTTCTATAGCAAGGATTGGCAAAATTTTTCTGTAAATAGCTAGATTGTAAGTAATTTAGGCTTTGTAGGCCATATGATTTCTGTAGCAATGTCTTACTCTATTCAGGCTGTTGTAACAAAGACTGTGGTCTGTGTAGCTTATAAACAACAGAAATTTATTTCTCACAGTTCTGGAGGCTGGGAAGTTCAAGATCAAGATGCTGGCAGATTCAATGTCTTATTAGTGCCTGCTTCATGGTTCATAGATAGCTATCTTCTCACTGTGTCCTCACATGGCAGATGGGATGAGGGAGCTCTTTGAGGTCCCTTTATAAGGTCATTAATCTCGTTTATTAAGACTCCACCTTCATGGCCTAATCAGTTCCCAAAAACCCTGCCTTCAAATACCATCACATTGGGAATTAGGTTTCAACATATTTAGGGGACACAAACATTCATTCTATAGCAAGCAATAACTCAACTCTGCTGAAGTAATGTATAGATAATATGTAAATGAATAGATATGTATGTGTTCCAATAAAACTTTTCCTATGGATTCTGAAATTTGAACTTCACATAATTTTCATGTATCACAAAACATTCTTTTTAAAAAATTTTTAACCACTTAAAGATATAAAAATTATCCTCAGATTGCAGGTCATACAAAAATAGGTGGTGGGCCAGATTTGATCTATTGTTCATAGTTTGCCAATCCCTAATCTATAGATTTTATTTAACTTTATACACAAGTAAGTGATTTTTTTCTTAAATTTTAATTTTAAAATAATTATAAATTCACAAGAACTTGCAAACATAGTACAGAGTACCTTTTAGCCAGTCTCCCCGAGTGGGTATATTTTATATAATTACAGTGCAACGGTACAATATGTGTATAGTTTTATACCTTTTTTTTTTTTTTGAGACAGTCTCGCTCTCTGTCACCCAGGCTGGAGTGCAGTGGCATAATCTTGGCTCACTGCAACCTCTGCTCCCGGGTTCAAAACGATTCTCATGCCTCAGCCTCTCCAGTAGCTGGGATTACAGGTGTGCGGCACCATGCCAGGCTAATTTTTTTTTTTTTTTTTGAGACACAGCTTCACTCTGTTGCCCAGCCCGGAGTGCAGTTGGACTATCTCAGCTCACTGCAACCTCTGCCTCCTGGGTTCCAGTGATTCTCGTGCCTCAGCCACCTGAGTAGCTGGGACCACAAACACCTGCCACCACGCCGGGCTGATTTTTGTACTATTAGTAGATATGGGGTTTCGCCATGTTGGCTAGGCAGGTCTTGAACGCCTAACCTCAAGCAATCTGTCCATCTTGGCCTCCCAAAGTGCTGGGATTACAGAGATGACCCACTGCACCGGGCCACATTTTTGTATTTTTTGTAGAGACAGGGTTTCTCCATGTTGGTCAGGCTGGATTTGAACTCCTGGCCTCAAGTGATCTGCCTGACTGAGCCTCCCAAAGTGCTCCCAAAGATTATAGGCATGAGCCACCATGCCCAGCCAATGCCATTTTATTACATATGTAGACTTGTGTAACTATTATCCAGCATCACAAAGATCTCACTCGTACTGCCTATGTATAGTTACAGCCTCTCTGCCACTGTCCCTAACCTCTAGCAACCTTTAATCTCTTTTCCATCTCTAAAATTTTGTCATTTCAAGAATATTATATATGTTGGGTGTGGTGGTGGCATGCACCTGTAATCCCAGCTACTAGGGAGGCTGAAACAGAAGGATCCCTTGATCTCAGGAGTTTGAGGCTGTAGTGAGCTATGATTGTGACACTGCCCTCCAGCCTGGGTGACAGAGCAAGGCTTTGTCTTGGAAAAAAAAAAGTTATATAAATGGAATCACACAGTGTGTTACTGGTTGAGATTGAGCTTTTTTCGTTCAGCAAAATGTTGTGAGGTCCCTCCAAAAAGTACCTGCTTTGTGATCAATATGAAAGCTAGGCAGCGCTAAGTTGAACACTCTGATTGTATTGACATGCTTTTTGGTTTTAAATTGGAGTTGCTGTTAAGTTGTTGCTTAAGGAGCAACTTCTACAAATGTTGTGTCTATGAAGCTTATATTCCCTGAAACAGTATAGAATGTGGATCTGAAACATCCCATGGCATGAATGCTACTTCAGTTTGCTGATCTTCCTCTTAACTGCTGAACTGGATTTCCTTGTGTTGACATCTCTAGCCCAAAGGTCTTGAGGTGCTGGGGAGTGAGCAGTGCTGAGAAGCCAGCAGAAAGGGGGCTCCAGTTGGCAGCATTGTCTTTCTTCCTTCCCTGTGAGCCCCATGCAGCAGCCAGTGGGTCCCTGTCCCTGGTTCCCCAGGGTGAGGCCAGCTGGAGGACCACACCTGCCACTTATGTGGAATCTTCCTCTGTGGAGGGTCGGAGATCTTTGCTTGGCAGAGCTGAGTTCGCCAGGGTCCCTGTCTGCACCATCTCTGTCAGCTAGTCTCAACGCTGGGACCATGGTTGTGGGGGGACAGTGACCACACTTGCTGTCTACTATGGTAATTAAGGTAAAAATGGGAATCAAATGGGGATGTATTTGATTCTGCTATAATGCTTATGGTTCTTTCTAATTCTTAAATAATATTATGAAATATTTAAAATATACAGAAAAGGAGGCTGGGCATGGTGGCTCATGCCTGTAATCCTAGCACTTTGGGAGATGAAGGCAGGTTGATCACCTGAGGTCAGGAGTTTGAGACCAGCCTGGCTAACATGGTGAAACCCTATCTCTATGAAAAACACAAAAATTAGCCGGGCGTGTTGGTGCACACCTGTCGTCCCAGCTATTCCGGAGGCTGAGGCAGGAGAATTGCTTGAACCCAGGAGGTGGAGGTTGCAGTGAGTCAAGTGAGACTCTGTCTCAAAAAAATAAAATATACAGAAAAGTGAAAAGGATATGAGAACAGACATCAGTATATCCATCAACCACTCATCTTGATCAAATTCTGATGTCTTGGTCTACATGCTTTCCATATTTTTACAACAATAAAGCATAACAAATACAGTGGAAGCTCTTTGTTACTTTTTCATCTTGGGTTTTAGCAGTTGTTTATAAATTCTAGAATCTGAGCCTTGACAGTTACATGTGGTACAGGTATCATTTTCCAAACTGTAAGTTATCTTTCTATTTATCCCATCTTTTGTTGAATAAAAGTTTTAGTTTTCTTTTTTCTTTTCTTTTTTTTTTTTGAGATGGAGTTTTGCTCTGTCGCCCAGGCTGGAGTGCAATGGCGCCATCTCTGCTCACTGTAACCACTGCCTCCTGGGTTCAAGCCTGCCCCTGCCTCCCGAGTAGCTGGGACTGCAGGCACAGGCCACCACGTCCAACTCATTTTTGTGTTTTTAGTAGAGACAAGGTTTCTCCATGTTGGCCAGGCTGGTCTCGAACTCCTGACCTCGTGATCCGCCTACCTCAGCCTCCCAAAGTGCTGGGATTACAGATGTGAGCCACCACGCCCGGCTTAATTTTCTTATAATCCGAATTATCATCTGCTGGTTTGGAAGCAATACATATTAATATTCATTTTAGTATCCATTCTTATTCTTAATAATTCTTTTGTTTGAATGATTTTATTTAAAAATTTGTTATTTAGTATTTCTAACTTCTTTAACAAAGGAACTTGTTGAATAACTCCCATTTTAGTCTTTTTATCTAAAAACAATATTGTTAAACACAGAAATTATATTATTTTAATATGGCTATTTTCCTTTTTTTTTTTTTTTTTGAGACAGACAGGATCATGCACTGGCATGACCTCAGCTCACTGCAGCCTCAACCTCCCTCAGCTCAAGTGATCCTCCCACTTTAGCCTCCCCAGTAGCTGGGACTACAGATGCGAGCCCCCACGTCCTGCTAATTTTTCTGCTTTTTGTACAAAAAGTGCAAGAAGAGATGGGGTTTTGATATGTTGCCCAGGCTTGTCTTTAACTCCTGGGCTCAAGCAATCTTTCTGCCTCGGCCTCCCAAAATGCTGGTATTATAGGTGTGAGCCACTGTGCCCAGCTAACTATTTTTTATTGTTAATTAAATTTAGTGATGTTTTATTCATCCCTGTGCTTAGCATTGTATTTTGAATCCCACAACTTCTCTCTTGGTTTATTTTACTTTGGACTGAAATACAACTTTGTAATTGATCTTTTTTTTTTCTTTTAGAGACAGACTCTCACTCTGTTGCCCAGATTGAAGTGCAGTGGTATGATTATAGCTTATGCAGCCTCGAACTCCTGGACTCAAGTGATCCTCCTGCCTCAGCCTCCAGAGTAGCTGGGACTACAAGGACCTGTTACTACACCCGTCTACCTTTAAAAATTTTTTTTGTAGTGAAGGGGTCTTGCTATGTTGCTGAAGCTGGTCTCGAACTCCTGGCCTCAAACAATCTACCCACCTTGTAATCGTGTTTTTTATTTTCTGATGCTTTTACATCTCTGGACATTGCTAACCCTGGAGGGACTGCCCCTCCCAGGGCCAACCAATTTGTAGAGTTAGTAAACAACTCCCCCGAGAATAGGCTTTCTGTATGCAAACCAACCAATGAAGAGCCCATTTCCCAATCACAGGCCCTAATCACCCTATGGCCCGGTACCAGATAATTCAGGACATTTCCATTCCCCATGAGGATTAAAAGCCTGCTGAAACCATTCAAGCTAGCCACTCGTAAGCCTGCTTCCCCTCCTTTGTCCTTTTCTTCCCATAGAAACTGTAATAAAAAGGCTCTTACCCACATTTCCTCCTCACTCCCTCTGCCCCTGACCCACCGTGCCATGCCTGGCATGTGGTACCTCCAGTTTCTATCTAGCTATGAGTAAAACAAACTTCTTTCTTCATGACAGCCATTTCTGTGTTTGTGTGTCTTACCACACCTGATTAAAGCAAAACCCAGTGGCCCTTAAAACAAACCATGCCTTTAGTGAGAATCTATCGGTGGTGAGCCCTCTTAGTTTTTTGGTTATAAAAACTTTTATTACTCCTCATAAATGATAGTTTATGTGGCATAAAATTCTAAGTTGACAGTTTTTTTACCCTCAGTCCTTTGGAAGCTGTTCCTCCATTTTCTTGGCTCTCATTTTGCTGATGAAAAGTCTTCCATCAGTTTAGTTGTTGCGCTCTTAGCAATTTATATTTCCTTTCTGGTAGCTTTTAACATTTTATTTTATTTTATTATCTTTTATTATACTTTAAGTTTTAGGGTACATGTGCACAATGTGCAGGTTTGTTACATATGTATACATGTCCCATGTTGGTGTGCTGCACCTATTAACTCGTCATTTAACATTAGGTATATCTCCTAATGCTATCCCTCCCCCTTCCCCCGACCCGACAACAGGCCCATGTGTGAAATGTTCCCCTTCCTGTGTCCATGTGTTCTCACTGTTCAATTCCCACCTATGAGTGAGAACATGTGGTGTTTGGTTTTTTGTCCTTGCGATAGTTTGCTGAGAATGATGGTTTCCAGCTTCATCCATGTCCCTACAAAGGACATGAACTCATCATTTTTTGTGGCTGCATAGTATTCCGTGATGTATATGTGACACATTTTCTTAATCCAGTCTATCATTGTTGGACATTTGGGTTGGTTCCAAGTCTTTGCTATTGTGAACAGTGCCGCAATAAGCATACGTGTGCATGTGTCTTTATAGCAGCATGATTTATAATCCTTTGGGTATATACCCAGTAATAGGATGGCTGGGTCAAATGGTATTTCTAGTTCTAGACCCCTGAGGAATCGCCACACTGACTTCCACAATGGTTGAACTAGTTTACAGTCCCACCAACAGTGTAAAATGTTCCTATTTCTCCACATCCTCTCCAGCACCTGTTGTTTCCTGACTTTTTAATGATCGCCATTCTAACTGGTGTGAGATAGTATCTCATTGTGGTTTTGATTTGCATTTCTCTGATGGCCAGTGATGATGAGCATATTTTCATGTGTCTTTTGGCTGCATAAATGTCTTCTTTTGAGAAGTGTCTGTTCATATCCTTTGCCCACTTTTTGATGGGGTTGTTTGTTTTTTTCTTGTAAATTTGTTTGAGTTCATTGTAGATTCTGGATATTAGCCCTTTGTCAGATGAGTAGATTGCAAAAATTTTCTCCTATTCTGTAGGTTGCCTGTTCACTCTGATGGTAGTTTCTTTTGCTGCGCAGAAGCTCTTTAGTTTAATTGGATCCCATTTGTCAATTTTGGCTTTTGTTGCCATTGCTTTTGGTGTTTTAGTCATGAAGTCCTTGCCCATGCCTATGGCCTGAATGGTATTGCCTAGGTTTTCTTCTAGGATTTTTATGGTTTTAGGTCTAACATTTAAGTCTTTAATCCATCTTGAATTAATTTTTGTATAAGGTGTAAGGAAGGGATCCAGTTTCAGCTTTCTCCATATGGCTAGCCAGTTTTCCCAGCACCATTTATTAAATAGGGAATCCTTTCCCTATTTCTTGTTTTTGTCAGGTTTGTCAAAGATCAGACAGTTGTAGATATGTGGCATTATTTCTGAGGGCTCTGTTCTGTTCCATTGGTCTATATCTCTGTTTTGGTACCAGTACCATGCTGTTTTGGTTACTGTAGCCTTGCAGTACAGTTTGAAGTCAGGTAGCATGATGCCTCCAGCTTTGTTCTTTTGGCTTAGGATTGACTTGGCAATGCGGGCTCTTTTTTGGTTCCATATGAGCTTTAAAGTAGTTTTTTCCAATTCTGTGAAAAAAGTCATTGGTAGCTTGATGGGGATGGCATTGAATCTTTAAATTACCTTGGGCAGTATGGTCATTTTCAACTACCCATGAGCATGGAATGTTCTTCCATTTGTTTGTATCCTCTTTTATTTCATTGAGCAGTGGTTTGTAGTTCTCCTTGAAGAGGTCCTTCACATCCCTTGTAAGGTGGATTCCTAGGTATTTTATTCTCTTTGAAGCAATTGTGAATGGGAGTTCACTCCTGATTTGGCTCTCTGTTTGTCTGTTATTGGTGTATAGGAATGCTTGTGATTTTTGTACATTGACTTTGTATCCTGAGACTTTCCTGAAGTTGCTTATCAGCTTAAGGAGATTTTGGGCTGAGACGATGGGGTTTTCTAGATATACAATCATGTCATCTGCAAACAGGGACAGTTTGACTTCCTCTTTTCCTAATTGAATACCGTTTATTTCCTTCTCCTGCCTAATTGCCCTGGCCAGAACTTCCAACACTATGTTGAATAGGAGTGGTGAGAGAGGGCATCCCTGTCTTGTGCCAGTTTTCAAAGGGAATGCTTCCAGTTTTTGCCCATTGAGTATGATACTGGCTGTGTGTTTGTCGTAGATAGCTCTTACTATTTTGAGATATGTCCCATCAATACCTAATTTATGGAGAGTTTTTAGCACAAAGCTTGTTGAATTTTGTCAAAGGCCTTTTCTGCATCTATTGAGATAATCATGTGGTTTTTGTCATTGGTTCTTTTTATATGCTGGATTACGTTTATTGATTTGCGTATATTGAACCAGCCTTGCACCCCAGGGATGAAGCCCACTTGATCATGGTGGATAAGCTTTTTGATGTGCTGCTGGATTTGGTTTGCCGGTATTTTATTGAGGATTTTTGCATCGATGTTCATCAGGGATATTGGTCTAAAATTCTCTTTTTTTGTTGTGTCTCTGCCAGGCTTTGGTATCAGGATGATGCTGGCCTCATAAAATGAGTTAGGGAGGATTCCCTCTTTTTCTATTGATTGGAATAGTTTCAGAAGGAATGGTACCAGCTCCTCTTTGTACCTCTGGTAGAATTTGGCTGTGAATCCATCTGGTCCTGGACTTTTTTTGGTTGGTAAGCTATTAATTATTGCCTCAATTTCAGAGCCTGTTATTGGTCTATTCAGAGATTCAGCTTCTTCCTGGTTTAGTCTTGGGAGGGTGTTTGTGTCTAGGAATTTATTCATTTCTTCTAGATTTTCTAGTTTATTTGTGTAGAGGTGTTTATAGTATTCTCTGATGGTAGTTTTTATTTCTGTGGGATCGGTGGTGATATCTGCTTTATCATTTTTTATTGTGTCTATTTGATTCTTCTCTCTTTTCTTCTTTATTAGTCTTGCTAGCGGTCTACCAATTTTGTTGATCTTTTCAAAAAACCAGCTCCTGGATTCACTGATTTTTTGAAGGGTTTTTGTGTCCCTATTTCCTTCAGTTCTGCTCTGATCTTAGTTATTTCTTGCCTTCTGCTAGCTTTTGAATGTGTTTGCTCTTGGTTTTCTAGTTCTTTTAATGGTGATGTTAGGGTGTCAATTTTGGATCTTTCCTGCTTTCTCTTGTGTGCCGTAGTGCTATAAATTTCCCTCTACACACTGCTTTGAATGTGTCCTAGAGATTCTGGTATGTTCGTATCTTTATTCTCATTGGTTTCAAAGAACATCTTTATTTCTGCCTTCATTTCGTTATGTACCCAGCAGTCATTCAGGAGCAGGTTGTTCAGTTTCCATGCAGTTGACTGGCTTTGAGTGAGTTTCTTAATCCTGAGTTCTAGTTTCATTGCACTGTGGTCTGAGAGACAGTTTGTTGTAATTTCTGTTCTTTTACATTTGCTGAGGAGTGCTTTACTTCCAACTATGTGGTCAGTTTTGGAACAGGTGTGGTGTGGTCCTGAAAAGAATGTATATTCTGTTGCTTTGGGGTGGAGAGTTCTGTAGATGTCTATTAGGTCCACTTGGTGCAGAGCTGAGTTCAATTCCTGGATATCCTTGTTAACTTTCTGTCTCGTTGAACTGTCTAATGTTGACAGTGGGGTGTTAAAATCTCCCATTATTATTGTGTGGGAGTCTAAGTCTCTTTGTAGGTCTCTAAGGACTTGCTTTATGAATCTGGGTGCTCCTGTATTGGGTGCATATATATTTAGGATAGTTAGCTCTTCTTGTTTAATTGATCCCTTTACCATTATGTAATGGCCTTCTTTGTCTCTTTTGATCTGTGTTGGTTTAAAGTCTGTTTTATCAGAGACTAGGATTGCAACCCCTGCCTTTTTTTGTTTTCCATTTGCTTGGTAGATCTTCCTCCATCCCTTTATTTTGAGCCTATGTGTGTCTCTGCACATGAGATGGGTTTCCTGAATACAGCACACTGATGGGTCTTGACTCTTTATCCAATTTGCCAGTCTGTGTCTTTTAATTGGAGCATTTAGTTCATTTACATTTAAGGTTAATATTGTTATGTGTGAATTTGATCCTGTCATTATGATGTTAGCTGGTTATTTTGCTCGTTAGTTGATGCAGTTTCTTCCTAGCCTTGATGGTCTTTACAATTTGGCATGTTTTTGCCGTGGCTGGTACTGAGTGTTCCTTTCCATGTTTAGTGCTTCCTTCAGGAGCTCTTGTAGGGCAGGCCTGGTGGTGACAAAATCTCTCAGCATTTGCTTGTCTGTAAAGTATTTTATTTCTCCTTCACTTATGAAGCTTAGTTTGGCTGGATATGAAATTCTGGGTTGAAAATTCTTTTCTTTAAGAATGTTGAATATTGGCCCCCACTCTCTTCTGGCTTGTAGAGTTTCTGCCGAGAGATCAGCTGTTAGTCTGATGGGCTTCCCTTTGTGGGTAACCCGAGGTTTCTCTCTGGCTGCCCTTAACATTTTTTCCTTCATTTCAACTTTGGTGAATCTGACAATTATGTGTCTTGGAGTTGCTCTTCTCGAGGAGTATCTTTGTGGTGTTCTCTGTATTTCCTGAATCTGAATGTTGGCCTGCCTTGGTAGGTTGGGAAAGTTCTCCTGGATAATAACCTGCAGAGTGTTTTCCAACTTGGTTCCATTCTCCCCGTCACTTTCAGGTACACCAATCAGACGTAGATTTGGTCTTTTCACATAGTCCAATATTTCCTGGAGGCTTTGTTCATTTCTTTTTATTCTTTTTTCTCTAAACTTCTCTTCTCGCTTCATTTCATTCATTTGATCTTCCATCACGATACCCTTTCTTCCAGTTGATCGAATCGGTTATTGAGGCTTGTGCATTCGTCACGTATTTCTTGTGCCATGGTTTTCAGCTCCATCAGGTCCTTTAAGGACTTCTCTGCATTGGTTATTCTAGTTAGCCATTCGTCTAATATTTTTTCAAGGTTTTTAACTTCTTTGCCATGGGTTAGAACTTCCTCCTTTAGCTCGGAGTAGTTTGATCATCTGAAGCCTTCTTCTCTCAACTTGTCAAAGTCATTCTCCATCCAGCTTTGTTCCATTGCTGGTGAGGAGCTGCGTTCCTTTGGAGGAGGAGAGGTGCTCTGATTTTTAGAATTTTCAGTTTTTCTGCTCTGTTTTTTCCCCATCTTTGTGGTTTTATCTACCTTTGGACTTTGATGATGGTGACGTACAGATGGGGTTTTGGTGTGGATGTCCTTTCTATTTGTTAGTTGTCCTTCTAACAGTCAGGACCCTCAGCTGCAGGTCTGTTGGAGTTTGCTGGAGGTCCACTCCAGACCCTGTTTGCCTGGGTATCAGCAGTGGAGGCTGCAGAACAGCGGATATTGGTGAACAGCAAATGCTGCCTGATCGTTCCTCTGGAAGTTTTGTCTCAGAGGAGTACCCGGTCGTGTGAGGTGTCAGTCTGCCCCTACTTAGGGGTGCCTCCCAGTTAGGCTACTCGGGGGTCAGGGACCCACTTGAGGAGGCAGTCTGTCCATTGTCAGATCTCCAGCTGCGTGCTGGGAGAACCACTACTCTCTTCAAAGCTGTCAGACAGGGACATTTAAGCCTGCAGAGGTTACTGCTGCCTTTTATTTGGCTATGCCATGCCCCCAGAGGTGGAGTCTACAGAGGTAGGCAGGCCTCCTTCAGCTGCGGGGGGCTCCACCCAGTTTGAGCTTCCTGGCCGCTTTGTTTACCTACTCAACCCTCAGCAATGGCGGGCACCCCTCCCCCAGACTTGCTGCGGCCTTGCAGTTTGATCTCACACTGCTGTGCTAGCAATGAGCAAGGCTCCGTGGGCATAGCACCCTCCGAGCCAGGCACAGGATACAATCTCCTGGTGTGCTGTTTGCTAAGACCATTGGAAAAACACAGTATTAGGGTGGGAGTGACCCGATTTTCCAGGTGCTGTCTGTCACCCCTTTTCTTGGCTAGAAAAGGGAATTCCCTGACCTCTTGTGCTTCCCAGGTAAGGCGATGCCTCGCCCTGCTTCGGCTCACGCTGGGTGTGCTGCACCCACTGTCCAACAATCCACAGTGAGATGAACCCAGTACTTCAGTTGGAAATGCAGAAATGATTCGTCTTCTGCATCGCTCACGCTGGGAGCTGTAGATTGGAGCTGTTCCTATTCGGCCATCTTCTTTATTATTATTTTTTTGCGATGGAGTCTCGCTCTGTCACCCAGGCTGGAGTGCAGTGGTGTGATCTCGGCTCACTGCAACCTCTGCCTCCTGGAGTAGCTCTTCTCATGCCTCAGCCTCCCAGTAGCTGGGACTACAGGTGCCCGCCACCATGCCCCGCTAATTTTTGTATTTTTAGTAGAGATGGGGTTTCACCATGTTGGCCAGGCTGGTCTGGAACTCCTGACCTCAAATCATCAACCCACCTTGACCTCCTGAAGTGCTGGGATTACAGGCGTGAGCCACCACACCTGGCCTAACATTTCCTTTTTTACCCTTGATGTTCTTCAGTTTTGTTACAGATTCTCTAGGTGTAGATTTATCTTTCTTTGTCCTGGCTCCGTATTCATAGTGTACTCTGAGAACCCTTTCCTCAATTCTATATTTGTTTAAGCTATTATCTCTTCAAATACGTATTTTTTGCTATTTTTCTCATTCCCTGCTTCTGTAACCCTTGTTAGATAGGTGTTAGAACATTTCAAAGTAGACGTCAGGTCTCATAGCTGTTTTTTTCAAATGAATCTTTTATTTTCTGTGTCTCTGTGTCTTGTCATGGGTGAATTCTCCAGGACTATCTTCCAATTCATTCATGTTTTCCTTTATTAGTTTCTATATAGAATTTATCCTATCTAGTGAGTTTTAAAAAATGTCAATGACTATACTTTTCTAAGATTTTGAAATTGTTCATATGTCCTTGATATCTCTCATTGTAGTATACATTCTTCATTTCTGCCTATTTAAAAGTATTTTATTTTTCATGGATGTTGCTTAAAAAATCTCTTGGTGCAGCTTATAATAATTGTGAAGCATTTGTCAGATTGTTTTATAAACCTAATTTTGTCTGGAGTGAGCTCATGTTCCAACGAGGTTGACCTTGTTGGCCGTCTTTTTCAGTACTTGCATTCTCCCTTATATTTGGAATGTTGATTTGCTGGCTTATTTAGAGTAGGGTGTTTTAGGCCTTTTGTGTTGTTTTGTTTCTCATCTCTCTCCTGCCTTGTGCATCAGTTTTTCGTTTTTGTGGTTGTCTTTACTAAGCCTCATCTAATCTCATTTGGACTAAACATTATAATGAAGTTTTATGGATTCTCTTCTGTGGTGATGCTAGACAGATGCTAGGCCCAGGCAAGAAGCCAGCAGGTGATCTTGATTAAGTTCTTTATCTAGCCTCCTCTTTAAGTCCAGAACCTCAAATAAACCAGTGTTCCAGGTAGTAGGTCAGAGTTTGTTTTTGCCATATTTCCTGACCAGTAGATCCACATCCCAACACTGGTTTTAAGCAGAGAAACTGCTGCAAGCCCTCTGCCTCACGTGGGATATTTTTAGTCCTATTACCCTGTGAAAGCCAAGCTCCTGGGTTCCTTCCCTGCCCTGGAGCCAGTGCTCAGGATCCTTGCAGCTTCTCTACTGCCACTCCTGTGTCGGGGCTCTCCCTGCACCACCTCACTCAGTTCCCACCACAGCCTTATGAAGAAGCACCTGAGTCCAGAGGCAGCGTGGCTTAGGGGCTCAGTATACGAACTCTAGACCCAAGTGGCTGGGTGTGAATCCCAGCTGTGTGATCTTAGGAAAGTTACTTGACTTGTCTGACCTGTCAGAAATTGCACTTCTGTCCTGTTTCTGGCCCCGAAGATAGATAGATATATATATATATATATATATATATATATATATATATATTTTTTTTTTTTTTTTTTTTTTTTTTTTTTTTGAGATGGAGTCTTGCTCTGTCACTCAGGCTGGCATGCAGTGGGGTGATTTTGGCTCACTCCAACCTCTGCCTCCTGGGCTTAAGCGATTCTCGTGCATCAGCCTCCTGAGTAGCTGGGACTACAGGCATGCGCCACCATGCCCGGCTAATTTTTGTATTTTTAGGAGAGATGGGGTTTCACCATGTTGGCCAGGCTAATCTCAAACTCTTGACCTCAACTGATCCATTTGCCTCAGGCTCCCAAAGTACTGGGATTACATGGGTGAGCCACTGTGCCCAGCCAAGTTCCAAGAGAAAATATCTGATTGGCAATTTTTTGGGGCTATCCATGTCTTTCTTGGGTTAACTTGATTGACAGTTTACCCAAGACTGTGTACAATGAATGGGGGAGGAGCCTCCAAATAAAACTGGGGTATGGTTTCCAGAAGAAGGGGATTTGGATGTTGAGCAGAACACCTGTGGAGGCCCATGCTACTTTGCTACTGGGTAGGTGTGAGAACAATAATAGCAGCTGATATTTATCAAGTAATTTCAATTCCTTACCAGGGGGCCACCATTATTTTCCATCCCTTCCACCTAACCCTCACTATACCTTATGAGGCATGTCTTTACTTCTATGCTACTGATTAATATGTTGAGGTTCAGACAGGTCAAGTAACTTTCCTAAGGTCACACAGCTGGGATTCACACCTGGCTGGTTGGGTCTAGAGTTCGTATACTGAGCCCCTAAGCCATGCTGCCTCTGGACTGAGGTGCTTCTTCATAAGGCTGTGGTGGGAACTGAGTGAGGCAGTGCAGGCAGAGCCCCGACACAGTGCTTGGTCCTTGGTGGTGGCTCAGTGCCTGCCAGGTCAGTCAATGTGGGTCTGTTGGGGCTCACTGGCTTTTCTCCATAGATGGGGGGAGGGAGAGAATGATGTGAGCTGTTTTCTCTTTAAATACCCAAGGAAATTTCCAGCATAACAAGAAAGAATTCTCAAAATTTGGAGGCTGGGGCGGAACTCCATTACACATTATCTGCCTCTGCGTTCTGTCACCTCTCTCTTCAGCTGAAGTGTAAGATGAAAACACCTTGCTGTCACCTCCTTCTCAGGACTGCTGGGCCCAGAAGGAAAGGCCAAAAAAAAAAATGCTGCTGCTTTATTGTAGATGATCCTAAAAACCAAACTTCATGTTTTTCCTGGTGGAAAAGCAATGTATGTCCTTTGAGTAAAAATGAGAACCTAAACAAAAGAAGCCGGGATGATGGTCGCTCACATTTACTGCTGGCTTAACCGTGTGCCAGTGGGCTCAGCTCCTTACAGCATTTCATTTTATCCTCATAATAGCCTCAGGAGGGACATGTTATTGCCACCCCCATTTTATAGGTGAGAAAACTGAGAATGAGAGGCTGAGTACGTTTTCAATACTACAAACAGCAAGAGGGGAGTGGGCATTCACATCCCGGCTCTGCATCCCCACCCCTGAGCTGTGTATATTGTGTGGTTGACAAAGAAGACAGCAGTCTTTTCTTTTTCCTATGCCCCCGTTCCATAAAATGACACACATACTTCCATTCGAGCAACCCTCAAAGTGTTTGCTCACACATAGGCGTGCCCAAGGTTGTCTTCTGCAATAAAGGGATTTGGGGCGCTTTTTTGCTGGGATCTTAGAGCCTGTTGAAATGTGTGCTTTGAAGGACATAGCAGCCGTCCGTGCAGCACAATGGGAGGGGCCATAACTCATATAACATGCAAGTCAAGCTGTTTGGAAAATGGCAACAGTCACTTTGACAAACTGAACAACATATTGGAAAAGGGGGCTATTTTCCCAAATATTTCACAGTTACAATTTTTTTTTTCAGGACAACCTCTACAATTTAGATGTCTGTACTTTGGCTAAAAGCCCTTACATGTTCTAGCACCTTCCCCACGTCGCATGAAGTGAATCTGTGTGTTCTTGGCTCCTCGACTGCCTCTCTTTTGCTTATCAGCACTCTGCTTGCCCATCTCAGCTTCATCTGAGTCATGTAGACCTGGGTTTGAGCCCTGACTCTGCCCCCAGCCAGCCTTGGGGCCATGGGCAAGTGACTTCACTCTCTGAAACACAGTTTTAAAAGTCTGGATAGCAAGGCCTGTTAGCTCACAGGTTGCCGAGAACTCATGAACATCCATGACGGCCATGCCATGGTTTCCTCGCTTACAGCAGGTAACAGGGTGAAGTTTCCAGAACTGTGGTCTATGTCTGCCTGGAATCAAACACAGGGAGGCATTAACTGCTGGAGGAGAAAACAGGAAAGTGTTTACTCCTGAAAAGGGGGAGGAGGCAGAGCCCTGGGGAATGGGGAGAAGGAGGGAAGGGCTGGGCTGGGGTGGGTGAGACAGAGAAGAGCCTGGGGGTGAGGGGGCAAATGCGGAGCTAAAGCCATCAGCTACTGCAGCGGGGTGTGGGGGACTCAAGTCCCGGACTAGAGCTGGGTGTGCCAGGAGCTGCAGGGAGCCACCCCTTTCCTGTGTGAGAGGAGGCCCACTTAATCCTGCTGGGCACCCACTGTTGAGTTTAGTGGCTGATGTAGCAAAAAACATTTCAGTTCTGATTACAAGTGATAAGAAGTCTAACTTACACTGGCCTAAGAAAAGCTGATTGCTGTGGCCTGGGCGATGTGCTCTGACTGTTTGGACACGAGTTTCAGCTGCAACAAGGCAAGGTGTGGAGTCCAGGGGACCACATAGACTGAGAGTGGGGAGAGGCAGGGAGGCAGTGACAACAGCAGCCCCTGTCCACCACAGTGGCCAAAAGAGACAGCCATGTCTTCCCTGCTCCACAGTGACAAGGCTCTTCCAGCCACCAGAACCTGAGGGAGACAGTTTTCCCAGCCGGTCAACTGATAATCCCCGAGAGAGATGCCATGGAAATGTCTGCAACAGTTTGTACTAAGCACTCTTCCCCGAGACATTCAAACATTTTCCAACATGTTTTATTAAGTAAGAATGCCACACTGGCCCTCGAGCAACTGTTGGGTGTTGTGTCCAGGGCTGGCAGGATGGAGCATTGATTGCCATCCTTTGTTAACTGTGTGTTTGTTGAGGGCTCACTATGGGACAAGTGCTATGGTGGGCTCTAGGGTAGGAGGCACAAAGACGTGGGGCGTGGGGGAGGTGACATGCTGCTGCTTTGAGGAGCTCTATGACCCTCCCAAGACACACAGACACACACACACAGACACACACACACACACACACACACACAGACACACACACACACACACACACACACAGATATAGGGTGCCAGGCATTCATCAGAGCCTATGCAGAGCAAGGCTGCAGGGAACCAGAGAGGGGAGCCCACCGTTCTGCTGGGAGAGAAGGGAGAAGGGGAAAGATTATGGTAGGAGTTGCTGCTTGAGTTGGGCAGCATTTACCAGGTGGAGAAGGGGATGCCAGGAGGGCAGAGGCCTGTAAATGTGAAAGGCCTGCTTTGCTAATCACTTAGGGCTGTGGGGTGGGCAGTGGGCCAGGGAACAGGTGAGTGAGGCTCAGATCGTAAAGGGTCTCTTATGCCTGGCTGAAGAGTTTAAATTTTCTCCTGAAACCACACAGGAGTGTCTCAGTCAAGGTTTATAGCTGTGAGCAACAGAGCTGGTTCTGGCTGAGATGGGCTCAAAAGGAATTGTTTGAGAGGAAACCAGGATCTCAAGGACTGGCCTAGAAGGCTGGAGAAGCAGGCTGGATAAAATACAGGGACACAAGGAGAGGCTCTGAAGCCAGAGGTTCAGGCCGTGTCATACCACAAAACCAGGCCTGGAAGGAGCCCATGGTCATGCTGCCGAGGCCAGAAACGGCAGCTTACCCCATTAACCTTGCTAGATGCTGGATGTCGTAGCTGGCATGATTGCCCTGGCTGACCCCAGAAGCTGGATGTAGCTGCCGCTGCCAGAGCCACAGAACACATCATTCCTTCTCTTACCATCCTTTTGCCACAAGCCCTAGAGTTGAGGTCTAGGGCCAGTGCATTCCCCTGGTGGAGCATGGGTTACTTGCTCATGTCAAGACTCTGTTTCCACCAAGACTCACAGTGTGGAGAGGTCCCCAAATATAACATGACAATGGAAAGCCAAAAAATAAATGCACAGGGAAGAAACGGGCAGATCAATGCTTGGGAAAGATGATTTTAGCAGCCATGTGGCGAGTGGTTTGCAGGAGGAGATAATGGAGACAGAGTAACGAGATAGGAATCCAGTTAAACAGCTTGGGGAAGAGATGCCAAATCCCAAAGCAGGGCGAAAGCACTGGCATTGTTGAGAAAAGGGCAGATCAGTTCACTTCAGAAGATGGTGGGGGCTGTCCCCAAGTTCCCAAATTGAGTAAGTAGTTCATCGATCATAACTTCAACACGGGAATACAGTTGTAGAGACTCAGAGCTGGGGAGAATCACGTTGGGTTTGCCACAGGTTGCCTGTGGGACATCTAGCTGGAGAGGTTCGGGAGATGTGGGACAATTTTTGTTTTGGGGGACTCAGCATCTATTCACCCTTATTCTGGAAACAG
Source organism: Homo sapiens (assembly GCF_000001405.40). Classification (NCBI taxonomy): domain Eukaryota; kingdom Metazoa; phylum Chordata; class Mammalia; order Primates; family Hominidae; genus Homo; species Homo sapiens. The sequence goes on along the minus strand of NC_000010.11, from coordinate 49,708,674 downwards.
ACCCACCATTTTCCTTTTGTGAAATGAACCCCTTTCCCACAATCTGTCCTGTCGATTTCAGTAGGGCTGAGTTCCCCTCTTCTCTAGTCCAGAAATGAGCATGTGATCCAGGCCTGGCCAACCCAGGTCACAAAGATTGGTTTGGAAATGGATACATGATCCAATCTGGGCCAATACAGTACAAGTCAGGTCCTGGGTCTTTTGTGGGAACTGTTGCAAAGGAGAAACTTTCATCCTACACGGGCTGCTAAGCTGGTGAAATGTCAGCCTGGAGCTGCTGGTGGTCCTCTTGTCACTACTTGGGGTGAGCTTGCCTGAGAACAAAGACAACAGAGAAGAAAGCAGCATCAAGAGATGGAGACAGAGTCCTGCTGTTGTCGACTGAACACTCATATTCACCTATGCCTATAGCTGGACTTTTCAGGTATACAAACCAATATATTTCCTATATTCTTAAGCCAATTGCAGCTGGCTTAAACTGCTTGAAGATGAACATTTCCTGACTTAACCATTGAGATTTGGGATCTAGCATGTAACAAAGAAATCAGGGCTGGAGAAAGATGTTGGGAAGTGGAGCTGAAGCTGTGGATATGACAATAGAGTGTGCAGGGGAGAACACATGAACAGAACCAGGAGATGGGCCAGTACTTGGGTGGTGTACAGAAATACATTTAGAAACACTTAGAACTCCAGGCACTAATACTGGTACCCTTCTTATAAAGCACTAATGTTTGTAGCAAATTGAGAAAAACTTTAAGACAGTTAAAAATACAATGAGGTCAATGGGTTTTTTTTTTTCATTTCTAAGGAAAACCACTGAGATACTATTAGATGCCTCAGAAGCATTTTCAAAACAGAGGAAAATGTACATCCCTCTGAAGACAGTTCCCAAGAAGCACACACTATTCAAATGCGGCGTGCTACCTGGCTTCCATGCCACTCCACTGCTTGCTTCAGAAAAGACAACAATCAACAAGTGGTTTAAGATATTTTTTCATTATGAATTGGGTATTTAACTCATTTAACCCATTTCCTCAGTGATGCTGAATTTCCACTGAACAGCTAAACGACTGGAACATTTTAAAGACAAGAATCAGTCAAGTCTTGGAGCTCGATCACCAGCTGCTCTGAATCTTATTTGGTGTTATTTAGGCTGTTGCCTAAGTTCTGGTGAAACCTGAGAATTTTTGCCTGAACCTGGTTCACTGTATATGGGCACTGTAGCTGGTTGTGCTTGTCATTGATTATGGTGATGGAGACTTCCTAAGGTCAGTTTTGGGAAAATTACAAAAATAGCTTGAGTCCCATTCCAGTGATGGGAAGGGATGGAGTGGGAAAGCTTAACATTGGGGTCCATCCTGTGGATATGGGCTCTGCCCCCAGTCTTGGCCACTTCTCTCCTATGTGAGTGAGCTTGGTCAGGTCCCTCACCTCCACTAAGACCCAGTTTCCCCACCTGTTAAATGGAGAAAACACTGTAGGGTGTGTAGGGCTCTTGTGAGGATTAGCAGACAGGAGTTACATCTGAGATGGTCCATGTGAGGCAGGTGACCAAGGCTAGATCATTGATGAATGCCAGCAAAGGAGCTCAATTTTTGTTTTTTATTAATTTTTGTTGTATGCTAACAAAGTAGCATGTGCTCATTGTAAAAAAATCAAACAACATAGGAGTAAAGGATTGTTTTCCTCCTGTTCTCCTACCTACTCGTCTTGCTCTCAGGTAACCCTGGGCAAGAATATTCTTCCTGGCATATTTTTGCTTGTGCAAATGAGTATGCACACACTATACACACACCAGAAAATTGTTCATGTAAATGTGATATGGACATCTTTGCAAAACCAGTACATACAATAGATGTAAACACTGCATCAGTGCCTTTAATGTTGTTCAAATAGTTTGGAGGGAGGAGGCAACTGACGTTTTTTGGTAGTTAGGTAGAATTCACATATGTACAATTCATCCATTTAAACTGTACAATTCAATGGATTTTACTATGTTCATGAACTTGTACAACCCCATCACTACAATCAATTATAGGACATTTTCATCATGTTAAAAAAAAAAGAAACACCTTATTCTTTAGCCATCATCTTCTCAGTCCCCCTTCTCCCAGTGCTGTGCAACCACTAATCCACTTTCTGTCTCCAAATGTTTGCCTATTTGGACACTTCATATGAATGGACTTATACAATACATGGTCTTCCTTTACTTAGCATGACGTTTTCAAGGTTCATGCCTGTTGTAGCATATATCAGAACTTCATTCCTTTTTATGGTGGAACAATATTCTATTGTATGGATAGACCACATTTTGCTTATTCATCAGTTGATGGACATTTGGGTTATTTCCAACTTCGGCTACTATCAATAAATGCTGCTATAAATACTTGTGTACAGCTTTTTGTGTCAGCATATGTTTTCATTTCTCTTGGGTATATACTAGGAATAGAATTGCTGGGTCAATGTTTTACTTTTTTAGGGGTTGCCAGACTGTTTTCCAAAGTGGCTGCCCATCTGACATTTCACCAGCAGTGTATGAGGGTTCTGATTTCTTTACATCCCCATCAACCAACACCTGTTGACTATTTGCTAGAACCCATCTTTGTGGGTGCGAAATTGTATGTCATTGTGGGTTTGATTTGCATTTCCCTCTAATGATGCTGAGCATCTTTTCCTGTGCTTGTCGTAATTTGTATGTCTTCTTTGGAGAAATGGTTTTCCCATTCTTAGCCTGTTTTTAAATTATTTGTCCTTTTATTATTGAGCTGTAAGAGTTCTTTATTTTAGATACAAGTACTTTATCAGATATATGATTTTTAAAAACTCATTTTGTGAGTTATTTTTTCGTTTTCTTGGTGGTGTTCTTTGAAAGACAAACATTTTTAATTTTGATGAAGTCCAATTTATCTATTTTTTCTTTTGTTTGTGTTTTGGTTTAATATATAAGAAACATTTGCCAAATACAAGGTCATGAAGATTTAACTGTAGGTTTTTTTCCTAAGAGTTTTATAATTTTGGCTCTTACATATAGGTCTTCGATCTATTTTGAGTTAATTTTTGTATATGGTGTGAGGTAGGGGTCCAACTTCATTCTTTTGCCTGTGGCTATCCAGTTGTCCCTGCACCATTTCTTGAGGCAAGTGGCTTTTGGATCTTTCTCCAAACTGAATTATCTTATTAATCCAAACAGTCTTCCAGTCAATTCCTGTTTCTTGTATCTTCCATGGCCCTCTGCTATGCTAGGGTCTGGCTTCTCTGTCAATCTAAATACAACTGCCTTATTTTTAAAACATTATTTTTGAATGGGTAATATAATATATACAAAGTTTCAAAGGTAAAAAGGATGTATAGTGAAAGATCTCCTGCTCATTGCTGTCCCTCTGCCACCCCAGGCCTCCCTGTCTAGAGGTAGCTTCTTCCTGTTTCTTGCTATTTTAAGCAGATTCAATGCATACCCATATGTTCTTTCTCATTTTTTCATAAATCATACAGTATATATATTCCTCCACACCATACTTTTTTGACCTTAGCAATATATTTTAGAGAGCTTTCCATAACAGTACTCCAAAAGTCTCTCTCATTCTTTTGACTGGACACATAGGACTCCATTGAATGAATGAACCAGGTTTTATTTAACCAGGCCCTTGTTAGTGATACAGGGCAGCTTTCAATCTTTTGTTATTACAAGCATTTCCTTGTATGCACATAAATTTTTTGAATAGATTTAGATAGTATCTTTAGGACAAATCCCTTTAGGGAGGTATAAAGATATACGCTTTAGATTTTTTTGACAATGCCAGATTGCTCTGTAGACATTTTGTCAACTTACTCTGCCTCTATCAAGCACAAGTGCCTGTTTACCACATCCTTACCAACACAGAGTCCTATAACATTTTTTGTTTTAGTATTTCCTTTTTTATTTTAATTTTTTGAGACAGAGTCTCGCTCTGCCACCCAGGGTGGAGTGCAGTGGTGCAATCTCGACTCACTGCAACCTCTGCCTCCTGGGTTCAAGCAATTCTCCCACCTTGGCCTCCTGAGTAGTTGGGATTACAGGCGTGCACCACCATGCCTAGCTAATTTTTTTGGTATTTTTAGTAGAGACAGGGTTTCACCATGTTGGTCAGGCTGGTCTCAAACTCCTGACCTCAAGTGATCCATCCACCTCTGCCTCTCAAAGTGCTGGGATTACAGGTGTGAGCTACTGCGCCTGGCCTAGTATCTCAGTTTCAATTTGCATTTATCTTATTAAGAATGAGGTTAAACATATTTTCCTCTGTTTATGTACTTTTTATGTTTCCTTTTCTGTGAATTGCCTCCTTACATTTTTGTCTTCTTTCTGTGGGCTGTTAGCCTTTTTCTTAGTGATTTGTGGGAGCTCTCTGTAGGTTAAGGATATGAGTTGCAAATGCCTTCTTTCACAAGTATTTTCACTTTTGATGTGATTTGCTTTGTTTTTAAAAACACAAAACCACTTTTCTTCTTATGAAGTTGAATTTAATCATTTTTTTCTTCTATGTCTTTGGGTTTCAAGTCATGTTTAGGAAGGCCTTCTTTCTTCCAAGTTTATGAAAGGTTTCAAGTTTGTGATTTTCTTTATTACATTTAAGTATTTGCTCCATCTGGAGTTTATAGTAGGATAAGGACAGGCGGGAATGGCGTTGCTCCTCCAGATGGTGGTCCAATTGTCCTAACCACATTTTAAGAATGAGCGCTTTTCTCCAGTGATTTGAGAGGCCCTTTATCATATACTACATTCCTCTGTTTGTCAATTTTTAGATTTCGATTCTATTTTTGGCTACTATTGTTCATATTTCAATATAAACTTTATAATCAGGTTGTCTTGTTTTCAAGAAGTCTTTCTGGCATTTTTATTGGTATAGCATTACATTTACATATTAATTAGGGAGTGTTGATGTTTTATGATGAGTCTGCCTGTTATATCCAGCGGGAGGAAGGAGTTATGATGAGAGGGCTTTAGGACGGTCTAGAAATGTCCCCAGATCTAAAGCACTCAGTTTATCACAAGACCAGGCATCACAAGACCTTAGTGGTGACCAAGTTCCCTTCACTGCATGTAGCAGGCACTCCGTGAGCACCTACCTTGTGCCAGTATGTGGCTGGGGCTGCTGGTCGCCTTACATGGACTCCTTCCATCTCTTTACTAATAAGATATTTTAGCAGAACGCTGCTGCTTGGCTAAACAGCTCCAATTTTCGGTCCTTTTCATAGCTAGGTTTGGTCATGCAAATGGAGGCTCATGTGAGGCTTCTGAGAATTCTTCTTAAAAGGGAGGGGGTGTTGCGAAGGCCCATGGCGTGTGTTGATATGATATAATTTCTGCCCAGTGCTCTGAATGCCAAAGTGAAGAAATTCAATGAAGTGCAGGTAAAGGAGTAACTATGACTCTCTTAAGTAGCTGAATGCCTTGTCATCTAATTAGTGATGTGCATGAATTAATGAAGTGGAGATTCTCACTGTCCCTATCTACTATCCGGTGAAACCACAGCCAAGGGAAGAGTCTTGGTGGAATTGGCGGGGAAAGAAGACCTTGTTGAGCTTGACTCTAGTCTGGCATGGTGAAGAGACACGAGAGGTGTAGAATAAGTGGGAGGCCCCCGGCGACCCCCCTCCCCTTGAGGGAGCGGGGTGGGGTACACTGTCCTTGTAGGCCCCTGATGAAAAAAGAAAAAGAAGGGAGCAGGGAAAACCCCTCTTTTTGTCCCTTCCTCCTTCCAGATGCCTGCAACATATATCTGGTGGCTGGAACTTGGTAGACATCATGGACCAGAACACTCCATGCTTAGATGGTGGTTAGTAGAGGTAGTTGGAGTCAGGGTCTCTGGGACTGAGGAGCGGCCTCAACTCTTGACTTCTGTATTAGTCAGGGTTCGCCAGAGAAACAGAACCAATAGGAGATCTATATGTATATCTATATAGTCTATATCTACATCTATAGCTAAACCTATATCTGTATGGAATTGTCACAATTATGGAGGCTGAGAAGTCCTGCTACCTGCTGGCTGAAAGCTGGAGACCCAAGAGTAGGTGGTAGTTTAAGTCCAAATATGAAGACCTGAGAAACAGGAGAGCCAGTGGTGTAAGTCCCAGTTCAAGTGCAGGAGAAGATCAACATCCCGGCTTGAGGATAGTCAGGCAGAGAAAGCAAATTTCTCCAAATCCCACCTTTCACTCTATTCAGATTTGGATGAGGTATGGGCTGGATGAGGCTCCCACCTTGAGTGGGGGTGGAATCTGCTTTATTCAGTCTAGTGATTCAAATGGTAATCTCAGCCAGAAATATCCTCACAGAAACTCCCAGAATAATGTTTGATCAAATACCTAGGCACCCCATGGCCCAGTCAACTGGATACATACAATTAACCACCCCAACTTCCCACTGGTTTTGACCACTGTCCCTCCCTCCCTCCCTCCCTCCCTCCCTCCCTTCCTTCCTTCCTTTTCTTTGTTTTCTTTTGAGACAGAGTCTCACGCTGTTGCCCAGGCTGGAGTGAGGTGGTGCAATCTCGGCTCACTGCAATCTCCGCCTCCTGGATTCAAGTGATTCTCCTACCTCAGCCTCCCAAGTAGCTGAGATTACAGGCGCCCACCACCATGCCTGGCTAATTTTTGTTAGTAGAGACGGGGTTTCACCATGTTAGCCAGGCTGATCTCAAACTCCCTACCTCAAGTGATCCACCCACCTCGGCCTCCCAAAGTGCTGGAATTACAGGTGTGAGCCACCACGCCCGGCCAACCACTGTTATTTCTTCCACTTTTATTCAACATGCTGCTGATTTTGACCCTTCTTATCCAGAGCACAAAGGTAAAGAGAAGAGATCGTCATTGATGGGCTCATCACACAGAGGCACTGGAGAGACCAGCAAGCCAGTGTGGCTGGCATGCGATGCTCCACCAAGGTCATCCCTGGTGCCATGGGGGTGGGAGTGGTGGGAGGGCAGGGCAGGCTTCAAGGAGGGCCTGATAGGTGAGAAGGGACCTGAAGGCTGAGCAAGAGTTTGTCAACCAGAGAACACAGCATGGCCTTCCATGAGGAGGAAGCAGCACGAGGAAGGCAGAGAAAAGACTATGGTTTACTTTGAGGAACTGTGAGAAATTTGGGGTACCCTGATTGTGTGTAGAATAAGGTCTAGGTCACTGGTCAGACTTAAAACGTATGAAAAATGACAATGACTTGGGGAACAATTTGTAGTACAATAGTTATAGCAACTCAGAAATATACTTCTAAGTGTAAAATAAAAGTTAATAAAAAAAAACGCAGCAATTTGTACAAAACATATAGCTCTGGTTCTCAACCTAGTTTCCCCCCATTTAGCACACACTCACATCAGTGACAGAGGGACAGTTAGCTGCAGGTTCCCTCTCCAGGTGACCATTTCAGCCTCTGCTGAAAGTGTCTGCAGATTGAACGAGCTGAAACCTGATACACCCTTAGGGAGCTGTGCCCTCTCTCTCAACTCCCCTCCTCTCTCTCAAGAGACGCATTTGAGTGCTGCCCTCCGCTGGAGTGTACCTATCTGTAAAGTGAGGAGTACCTGTATTGCTTTGTATCCAAAGAAAAAGACTCACTAATGTAAATGCAGATTTTAATAAATAGATATGTCAATAAAGGCACATCATTTATGTGCATATATATACATATATATATATCCTAAATGTGGCCTGGCTCTTCTTGGTTCAGGGTACAAGTGGCAGATTAGCAATAAAACCCCAAGTTTGCTCAAAAGAGTCCTCCTGTGTGGTCAAAGGACCAGCCTGCATCATCTAATGTGCTTTTACTGTGGACAGGAGGGATGGGGGCTGCATGCCCAGTGGTTTCCCTCATAGTTCTGGGCTCTGGGAGTCCACACTGCCTGGATTCACTTCCAGCAGGTTCCAGGGTGAGACTCTGAAGGCCATTGCTGCTGCTGCTGTGCTCACCCTGGGAGTATATTCTCTTCCCCCAGGCCTTCCTCCACCCTAGGAGTAGGTGCAGATCTAGCAAAAGAGTTGACATCTCCACATCACAGCTCCAGTGGTGCTGTGACTGTTAGAAAGATATGAGAATCAGGGAGAAGTGGACATGCCCATGGTTTACTGGCCATGCTCTAGAGACCAGCCTCTCTCACAACCGCCAACCCGGAGTATTTCCAAGCCTTTCTATTGTCCCTGGAATCCAGGCCCAAGAACATGAGGCCCAGAGGGAAGAAACATCCCATTTCCCTGGTCTGGGTGGGGGATAACCTTCCTAGCACTTCCCAGAATGACTGACAGAAGGTAGCTTCATTCCCCTTGGGGGGAAATGCCCACCGCTACCTACAGGGACAATATAGTCCTGTCCTAACACCCTGATGCCACTTCTCTCAGTGCATTTGGCCTGGATGCACTGGAATCAGGTGGCTCACATGTGAAAGAAGTAGATTCCTGGGTCCCTCCCAGACCCATTAAATCAGAACATGGGAATGGGGCCTGGAGTCCGCTGACGAGGGACTGCCATGCCAATGGATTCCTTGGAGTCAGAAGCTTTGGTGTTCAGTATTTTTTATGGAGACATCGGTGGTGCAGTTTGGACTAAGCCTCACCTGACAGGTTCCTCCCATGTGAGGAGGGGCTAACTCACCATTGTTGAGTCTGCTGGGTCTCAGCTCTTAACTTCCTCTAAACAGAACATCCACAGAACAGGGACATGCACGCTCACAAAGACCTGTGACCATGCAGGCAAAGTAGGCTCACATCTTGCCTGGAGGCTCTTCCCCTCAGGCAACCTGATCTCGGGGGGGATGAGCTCTGCCTACAGCTGGGCCCTCTTGTACCTGATCACAGAACAATCAGGCTTTTTAGGTCTTAGCTTCTCAAATGTCTTTATTTCATAGATCTGCAAATAGTCTTTGCTTTTTCATTTACATAACCAAATGGTTGGGTCAAGTGGTTTCATTAAAACAAGAGTAGTCTGCACACACTATAGCTGTGGACAGGAGAGCCAGGGGCCTTCTGGGAAGGGTGACGGTGGAATTAATGTGGAAAATGACTCTCAGACCAAAGGTGTAAACTGGAGTGCCCCCTGCAAGGAGCATCCCATGCTCCTTGATCAGAAGCAGGTGATCATCACAGTAACGGGCTACAAATGTGGTTGTTTTGGTTTTTCAGTTGGCACCAATTTTTTTTTTAATTGAGCCACCATACTGGGTGTGGTGGCTTGTGCCTGTAATCCCGGCACTTTGGGAGGCTAAGGCAGGAGGATTGCTTGAGCCCAGGAATTCGAGACCAGCCTGGGTAACATAGGAGATGCCATCTCTACCAAAAAATAAGAAAAAGTATCTGGGTATGGTGGCATGCACCTGTAGTCTCAGCTATTCGGAAGGCTGAGGCAGGAGGATTGCTTGAGCCCAGGAGTTTGAGGCTGCAGTGAGCTATGACTGTGCTACTCACTCCAGCCTGGGCAATAGAGCAAGGCCTTGTCAAAAAAAAAAAAAAAAAAAAAAAAGATTGAGCCACCAAAACAAAAAGTTAACAAGAGAAAGAAAAATGATAAATCTTGACATATTATTGGGCTATTTTAAAAATGCCTTTCAGTAAAATTTTACTGTTGGCCAAAAAGCAAAATTGAACCAACATTTTAAAACCAAAAGTCTCTAGTAAAAATCCAGATTTCCAGCTTTTCTGGAACAATTCAGAAGATTGATACCCTGCACAGCAACATCACTAGAGCTGAGCTGCCGCCACCGCTGTTAGCCTAGCTGCCTGCTCCCCACGTCCCTGGCACTCACTACGCTGTCCACCCTGTTGTTGTCTTACACCAGCATGGTGCCCTCAGTCTGCTGCTGCCTGACTTCGGAGGCCTCGGGTGTGTGCTCTGATTTGCACGGGGGAGAAGTGCAGTGCCCCGTCCTATGAGTGGGAACATCCACTCACAGCTGCCACTATAGCGCCTGATTACACCACTGTCTCATAGGAAGCTCCCTTCCACCAGCATTTTCAATATTCAGACAGTTTGGGAAGAATAGTTCCACACGCCTTATGCCCGAGACCTGGGCTAGCACTTTCTTGTCTTTTACCTGGATTTGGCCAACAGCTGTGTTTCTAGTGGAAACCTTACACCCCCAGGGCATTTGTTGATTGTCACCAGTTGAGATGTTCTCTTTCTCTAACTGTAATGCTTGCAGGGCTGGGGATGAATGTCTGAAGCAGGGGACCAGAGTAACAAATCCCAGTGTGATTTTGTTCAGGACATGTGTCCAGTCCTCCCTCAGCACCATGTGTTCAGTCCTCCCTTCGTCTCCACACCACTGAGATGTCCCAGCAACCTACCTGGAGAGCTGATTTTTCACACAGTTCCCTTGTATATGGCCCTCTTGCAAGGATTGTCAGGTTTTTTTGTTTTTTTGTTGAGACAGGGTCTCACTGTCACCCAGGCTGGAGTGCAGTGGTGTGATTGTAGCTCACTGAAGCCCTGAACTCTTGGGTTCAAGCTATCCTCCCACCTCAGTCTACCAAATAGCTGGGACTACAGGTGCATGCCACTGCACTCAGCTAATTTTTTACTTTTTGTAGAGATGAGGTCTCACTGTGTTGCCCAGGCTGGTCTGGAACCCCTGGCCTCAAGCAAATGTCCTTTCTTGGCTTCCCAAAACACTGGGATTACAGGTGTGAGCCACAGCCTCCAGCCAATCATCAGATTTTAAGGGCAATCTTACCAAGGGAGCAGATATAGCCAATAAGGCCCCAGGGAGGAGCCCAGGAAGGCCCCTTGAAAATCTATTCTTTTTAAATTTTAGAAGTAAATGGAAAAAGTTTAGAGACTCCAAATTTCATTTAAAGATAATTAAGGGCCAGGCTTGGTGTGGCTCATGCCTGTAATCCCAGCACTTTGGGAGGCCGAGGTGGGTGGATCATTTGAGGTCAGGAGACCAGCCTGGCCAACATGGAGAAAGCCCGTCTTTACTAAAAACACAAAAATTAGCTGGGCTTGGTGGCAAGTGCCTGTAATCCCAGCTGTTCAGGAGGCTGAGGCAGGAGGATTGTTTGAACCCAGGAGGCAGAGGTTGCAGTGAACCATGATCATGCCACTGCACTCCAGCCTCGGTGACAGAGCAAGACTGTCTCAAAAACAAAAAAAATTAAGACACAGCTATGCTTCTAACTTTATTTTAAAATACACTTTCTTTACATGTTAATCATAACGACATTGACTTGACATCTTATAAAACTTAAAATGTGATTTAATCAGTGGTATTTTAAAAGCATGAAGGCGCCCGAATGTCTAGCACGTTGAAGCACAGGGCACTTTTGCCTTTGATGGGGAGCAAGCTGTGTCTCTTGCTTCTGGGCAGGGAGGTGCGTGCTCGAGAGAGGGAGGCAAAGGAGGAGGATGACAGCACATTCTTCAGAGATTTCCATAGAGAAAGTTCCTCTTAATCAGTGACAGAGGAGGATAAGGCCATAGACAGGTGGCTTCTATGTCAAAATCTTTATTTTATTTTCTGAGACAGGGTCTCACTTTGTCACCCAGGCTGGAGTGCAGTGGCGTGATCTAGGTTCGCTGCAGCCTCTAGCTCCTGGGCTCAGGTGATCCTCCTGCCTCAGCCCCTCAAGTAGCTGGGACTACAGGTGCATGCCACCAGGCCTGGCTAATTTTTGTATTTTTTGTAGAGATGAGGCTTCACCATGTTGGCCAGGCTGCTCTCGAACTCCTGTGTTCAAACAAATCCACCCACCTTGGATTCCCAAAGTGCTGGGATTACAGGCAAAAGCCATAGTGCCCGGCCCTGATTTTAAGTTTTTATCTGAAAAGTACCCCTAACACACACTTACATACAAAGTGAAAATCAATTCCACCACTAAAAACATTTACAATACGGAAGGCAGAATAGCCCTGCAAACTTCCTCCCTCTACCTCACCTGCCCCCCACACCCCCCAATCCCACTGCTCAGAGGAAACCTCGGTGATTTTTCCCAGCAATGCTGATTCAGACATCATTTGCCTCTGATCCAAACTGAAACATAGGGCTCTGGGCACAGGCATCTCCCAGAAGCTTCTCCGGTATTTCTTAGAATCCGTGTACTGTCTCGCCTTACCTGCCCTTCAGCTCTGGTCATGAAGCCAAGGAGGGCAGGTCTTCTTCACTTGTAGTGCTACTCTGAAGGCACAAATACAACCTGCGGGGTTGAGGCGGATGCTGGAGGAGGGCATGGGGCTGCCGAGGGAAGCACTTGTTACCAGTTTAATGCCGGGGTTGCAGGGCTAGAGGAGACAGGATTCCACTGTGTTTGGAGATGAAGTTCCCACTCCAAATGCAGACAGGGGAAGCTAGCAATTTCAGTTCTCAGCATTGAAAAAGTTTTGGCCATGAAAGTAGAAATCACAGCTCAAGGGAGAGATTTCCTGATTCAAGATAAAATGCTCAGACAGTCAACAAATCATGCGGGAAGAGGCTCTATGTAAAATGTTACGTTTAAAAAAAGATTCAACATACCTGCCCATGTACCCCCTGTATCTAAAATAAAAGTTGAAAAATTTTTAAAAACTTACAAAATTGTGCATAAATCTCAAATGGATGAAGTCAATTTCTATATGTCTATCTCTTTATGAATATTCAGACATAAACAGAAGAAACCCAAATTGAAATATATAAAAATGTTACTAAAGTTGTACTTTATTTTTACCTGTATTTTTCCATTTTTCTTTAATGAGAATGGATTTCTCTTGTAGTAAAATGTTATATTGAAACAAAGATTGAATGCTACATCTATAGTAACTTAAACTGGGTTTTGAAAAAAAGGGACTAAATGTAGGGTTACAAAAGATATGTGAAAACCAGCACCAGACACTGGGAGGAAGAATCTCTTTTGAGCCTCAGTTTCTCAGTAAGGAGATGCTTAAATAGTTCCATAGAGTTCTAAGTGATTCACAATCCCTGAATCAACTCTGACAAGTGAAGCTTGGGCTGGGGTTTTAAAAATTATATCCCCTACTTTGTCCTGTGTGAGAAGGAACTTGTGCAAGCAGTTTCATGGTCCCCAGTGGTCTTTGAAGTTCTGGGGTGCAGGAGGGTTTGAGGCTGCCTGGGGCGATGGTTAGGACTGCTCTCAGAGCAGGTGAAGCCGCAGGTCTCTGAGCGATCCTGAAAGCCCTGCTCCTTCAGCACAGGTGCCCCGGGTCCAGAGTTTTCTGTTAGGGAATCTGGTTTTCTCCCCGTAGGTGTGAGGCCTTCTTACCATGACCTCCCATTTGACGTCATTAGATCAATATCTGCATTTCCCCCTCTCTGTTACTCTATAGTTAAGAATATATACTACACATTGGTGCGTAAGAGTGGAAAGTAAAAATATCATTTCGACATGACTGATTTTCACACTGAACATAGTGAAAACCCTCTTTAACTCTATGGGGCTGTGTTCTACTCCAGAGGGACCAGGGAACCATCTCACATTCTGCTGAGGACTCTTTTGCGCCCTCCTCAGACGATATTAATGCAAAAGAAGGCAGGTCATTTTCTTGTTTTAGATGAGAGAAATTGAAGATTTGATTTTGGCTAATTTTATAATAGCAATTTAAAATATTTATTCCCTCAGGAGTCAGAAATAAATCTGTAGGAATAGCAAGGTTTCCAAATATTAACATTTGCTTTTGGTTCAGACTTTCAAAAGCCTTTATTCCCACTCTTCCCCCAACCTCTCTTTAATTTCACCTGTTCTGAGCACTTTGAGTACTAAACAATGGAATCTCAGATGCTTCTGGCAACTATGTGTTATTAGTCAGGAATGGCACCTTGTTATTTGATTGCATTTTATTGTTTCCTTCAGCTCAATGTGTACCTGATATTGGAGGGCTCTCCCTATGGGTTGAGATTGAGACATGTTATAAATGATGTGGTTTTTATTATTTCTGTGGGCTCCTGTGCAGCCAGGTGACAATCCTGAGGCTGCGTAAGCTGGAGGTCAGGCCCGAGTTGCCCTGTTCTGACTAGCAGAGCCCAGTGTCCACACCGTGGCACAGCCACTTCTGCCTGCATCATAGAATGGCTGGGGCAGCTGCTGTTGTGCCGACTTGAGATGCCTGTTCCATGAGGAGATCAGTAGGCATTCAGCACGGCTATCCTGGCCTTTTCACACAGTGGGTCTAGTTTACCATCGCCTCCTAGGGAAACAGATATAATTGTCTTTTGGTTAGCTTTATATACAATTTGTTATCATATCAGACATACCTATGGCTTCCACCCAGAGTGCATTTTCAAAGGCCATGGGCTGGTAAAATGTTAACTAGTTTTTAATAGAGTGTTAGTGGATTGCAAAGCTTTAACTTCTGAGCACAGAGAGGCACGCACAGTGCCAGCCTGCCAGGCCAGAAGCTCTCATTTGAATGTTGCTGATAGTGTCATGCACTGCTGGCATATCAACTCAGTGTCTTAGCAAGTCTAGATAGAATAAACAAGTGGAAAAAAAGCAGCTTCGAAAGCAAATAATAACAGAATACATATTATTAAAGTACAAAAACCTATTATCCCTTAATTCCATCACATCCCTCGAAGTCCAGGGCTTCACTTCATTTTCCTTCCTGTTTCCAATGTTTGGGGAAACTCGTAGCATCACACACTTTACTGTGTGGTTTTGGATACTCTCCTGTGTGTGCCACTGAAAGCACAGGGCTTTCAGTACAAGTTTCAAACTCAGAAAGAAACCCAATTTGAATCCAGGCATGATACACTGATCATTTCAACTAGAAATTGAGGGACTCCTCAGAGGAGGCAAATTGCTGGCTGGAAGCATCGCCAAAGGGCTTACCGAACTCCAAGTCCTTAATGTTGCAGTGGAAGATGACTTCTTCATTCACCATGAGTTCCACCACATTCCAGTCTTCTATCTTCTCTAGGATGACCTCATGTCCATCTATGGCCAACACAGCTGGGAAGGAAAGAAAAGGAGGTGAGTGACATGGGGTCAGACTTCAAACTAACCTGACTGGTAGCAGTCCTCATGATGACAGTAGCTTGTCTGCCATCTAGTTGCTCATGGGTATCACTCAACTGCCCTGGTAGGCACTTTCTGGGTGTTGGCCCCAGGTGCCCTCACCTTTGCTGGGAAGCACAGCCAGAGGCCTGAGTAATTCAGGTTTCAGTTGCGGTTTGTCCTACACCAAGGTGATCTGTTAAACAATGAGCTTCCTCTAGTAAAGGGCTATTGGGCTTTCCAGAGGCTCAATCTTATAGAGACCACACTCAGTGCTGGAGAAGACTTGGGGGAATAGGCAACTTCTTACTCTGCTGATGAAAGTACAAATTGAACACCTTCTGGAGGGCAATTTGGCAGTACGTACCAAAAGCCTCAAAAAATGATTCTAATCTTTAGTCCAGGAAATTACACTTAAAAGAAAGCTTCCTAAGGAAAAAAAATACAGGCAGATTTTTGCAACAAGATGTCTTTTCTCCATTATTATGACAGCAAAATACCGTGAATAACTTACATATCCAATAATGAGAGGACGGCCAAATAAACGGTGGAATGTCCATGTGATGAGATTTTATTTGGACATTTATAAAAATGTTCATGAACTTTTTTAATGGCAAGAAAAATACATGCAATATAAGCAAAAACTTAGGATACAAATATATATAATACATGTTTAAAATATATAGTCAATATGAATTCAAATATGTATGTAAGGATGAAGAAAATACCTATTGATTATCTGTCTGTGGTGAGATTATGGGAAACTTTTTTCTCTTTATTCTTTCAGCATTTTCCAGATTGCGTATAATAATCTGAAAAAAAGTTTTTTAGAAAAGCTAATGAACTAACTTTTTATTCTCATCTTTGGAATCTGCATTTTGATTATCACTTACATTCAATGGCTCCTTCCCCAGAGAACAGTTATGGAATAATTGTCAGATTTAATCTTTTTATTGTGGAAATGCAAAGGTGTGTGGATTAGAAGAAATGATGTACATTGGACAGCCTAGAGCTCTATTTTTTCCAATGTATTTCTCCCCACTTTCCTGGATATATTTAACCCATAACATCAATATTAGAGTGGGTGTGCCGATCATTACCTTTGTTGGTCTTCATATGTTGGTGAGAATTTTGTTTAGGATGGAAAGAGAAAACAGACGGGGGCATATTCTTTAAAGTCTTGCCATTTCAATCAGTTTTACACGGAGTAAAGCAAACAGTTATGTCAGTTAATTGCATTTAATTACAGAGACAATTGCTGTTTCAAAATGTTGGTGTGTCCACTTCTTCATCTTTCAATCAGTTCAAGAACATCCAGCCCCAACTGTGAACATTTTAATTGCGCGATTTTAATTTCACTTCTGGAAAGGAACTTCAGAAAGAGACTCAGCAAGGATCTCCATTAACAAGACAGCACTCCCTGGGTACCCATAGGCGGCCCTAATTGACCCATGTCAGCTAATGCGTCTCTAAAAAAATGCCTGCATCTTTTTCATTGGCATATTTATGATATTGCATCCTGTTTAAGTGTCTCGTTCTTAAACGTCTTTGAAGAAGGCACTCAGTTTGGACCCACGACTTGTTTAAATGAAGCAGTCCAGCTCGTTTGGAAAGGCAGCTGATCATCTAGGGAGACATAAAGGCAGTCCATGGGCAGAGATTTCTGGGATCCCACACTCCCTCAGCAGCAACCCCTCAGGACGGCGGAGCTGCATTTGTCTGAAGACACTCCTGGAGGATGGACTTCAATTTGATAGGAAGAAATCAGGAGCAAAACAACTTCTCCATTCCCACCTTACACCCGCACCCCCCAACCTCCACCTGTGAGGCAAGGTGCTGCCACTCGGCAGTTAACACCCAGTGCCAACTCTCTAAGGCCTGGAGGAGTGAGGGTGCATGGACTGTGGGCAAGGAGCAGCCCTACGGGTGGAGGCCCCAGGAGGCGAGCACACTGTAGCCTGCCCCTGGCCCTCCTGCAGGGCCTGCTGACTGAGCCTCACGTGGCATCTGAGCTTGGAGTTTAGAGGACAGTGGCACTTATACGGCATGGTGTAGCTCAGAAACAGGAATTGATCCACCGAATCACTTACCCTATTGAGTTGAGGGGTGCCGAATAATGGGGGTCCACCTCATCTTCGAGCAAATGAAGCCCAACAGGAAGAAACCCTCTTAAGAGACACACCACTCTTCACTCTGCCCTCTACAGGGTTGCAAAGCACAGGCTCTCGTGCTCTTAAAGGGCATGTGTCTTCCTCACTGACCAGAATTATCTCCAAGTGCCTGGTTTTAATAGAGGCTCACTGAAGAAGCAAACACAGAATGGCCCTGGGCACTGCCCACGACACTTTTGGACCCACAGAGTGACCTAAGTCTGATTCTTGCTAAAGCAACAAGCTACCTCAGAGTCTACATTGAATATTCAGCCCCAGGACATTCCCTTCCCATCACTCTGGGAGGTGTTGAGCTGGCTTGGCTCTAAGGTGGCCAGTGCAGGCTTAAGGGATCAAACACTAGACACCCCGGAATTCCTGCAGCTCATCCAAATGCCACTTCTCTACACGGAGCACCCATTTCCTCCCATGAGCTGCTGTGGGGTTGTCTAGTCAAAGAAAGGTCAGATAAATATACTCCCTGAAACAAAGCCTGTGCGAAGGCAGTGGGTAAACTCCAGCATAAATCAACCAGAAGCTATAAGGCCACCTGCAGTCCGCCTGCCTCTTTGAAGTGGCACCTCATTCTTCAAGGGGGATCTAAATAAACGAAAGGGATATGGAAAAGGCTCCCTCCTTGCCGGTGCTGGTGGAACTGCACAGCATCTGCGAATGATTTAAATGCCGCTGGTCAGGAAGCAGAGGTAAACAGACCTCTCTCCCTCCTCTACTCAGCACAGAGGCATACACACACCCCCGCGCAAGGGCCGCTGATGCATAGCTAGCACAGGAGAATGCCACACAGAGTGTCTCAGCTACGTGGGGTGGATTCTATTTTATGGATTGGTTTCAATTCCTTCCAAGCCCTTTGAGTGGGTCATTTGGCAAACTTAAGTAGAGCATGCAAGGGGCAAGTGTGGCCAGGGAAATTACTTAGAACTTTTTGTTAAGCATTAGTTTAGCTTCACCAGCATTGAGGCCATAGTGGAAACATTTTGCTGAGTTATTATAATTCATGGATAATAAAGAAAGAACAAAAATTTTCAGATTGCTAAAGGCATGGTAAGTTCAGAAAAGATCAGGCCTATTTCTAAAGCCAGCAGGGCTTCGGGAAATGATAAAGAGCTGTAATTTTAAAAGAAACACAGAGAATTCAGATGCAGATTTTACAGAGGAGGGCCTGCAAAGGTACCACTCTCTGCCTGCTGTGCGGTGAGTGCTGGATCTAAAGTTGTGGGGGGGTGCAGATGCTCCCTGCTTTGCTGCGGTGAACACCCTGGCCCTTGTTGGCTGCCGGTATTACATGACTTATCATTCATCGAAACACAGAACTGACTTTACAAATCAACCACCTACTGATACCTTGCAACCCTCAAGTCTCCTTCAGCCATAAAAATGCTCCTCTTGCTCTTTCTCCAAATACTCTTCCCTTCCCCTATTGTGGGAAGAGCCACCTGCGCCTGCTGCCTTCGCTTTTTGCTGTGTTTCCACCCGCTCACCTCCTGCAGGGAAGCCTTCAGCTCACCAAGTCCAGAGCCTGCCGTCTCAGAGGTCAGGAAACCATCGCACATTCAATGGCTTCCCAGCGCTCCCCATCCCTCTCGGACCCACCTCCTTTCTTGTTTCTTTAAAATACTTTTGATGGTAAAAACAAATATGTTTTTTGATCTCTAAATTTTAAAAATCAAGTTATCAATGTAATGAAGATTCATAATACTTTTTTAAAAAAACTTTAAAATTATAGAAAAGGACAACATTTTAAAAATGACCCCTAATTCTTCTCTCCCTCTGTCTTTTTCAGTGGCAGTAAGACCATGGCATTCAGGACAATGCTTTGTTCCCTTCGCAGTGCATCATGTGCCCCAGCCCTGTCACACACATAGAGTGGCTGCATTCTTCTTCAGCGCTGTGTAGGATTTTACATGATGTACGCACTACAATTTATTTACCCATTCCTTTTTCTGATTGTTTCCAATTTTTCGCTATCGCTGAGAATGTTGTAGAAAACATTCACAGCATGCATCCTAGTGCGTGTGTGAGGTTTGTTTTTTCTTTTATAAGGAAGATATTGAGAAATGGAACAGCTGGATTCTACAGTATATGATCACATTTTAACAGACACTGCCAAGTTGTCCTCTAAAGGTGACAGTTCAATTTACTCTCCCGCCGAGGGTAAATTAGGAAAATACTTTTTTTCTCAGTCTTTCATCAGCCATGAATTCTTCTCTCCTAGAAATCACCTCTACTCAATAGTTTGGAGCCCACTGGTAATTTTCTTCCTGAAATGCCATCGCTTGCCCCCTTATGCCTCCAGTTCTCTCCTCCCTCTGCCCCTGCTCCTCCACAGGCTGCTCCTCTTAACACACCCTGCCCTCGGGGGGCTGTCTCATCATCCTGCCATCTCCAGTCCTGTCTTTCCTTGCTTCCTCCGCAGTCTTGCCTCCTGTGGTTCTAGCATTCGGCTTTACGCAGGTTGATTTTCTTAACTAATGTTTATTCTTACAATATGCCAGGCACAGCTCTGGGCTGGGACCCAGCAGAGAACAGAACCAGAAAAGAACTCCTGCCCCTTCCCTCCTCAAAGCATGCCTCCAAGTGGGGGAGAAGGGTAACAAGGTATACAGGTGAGTGCGTGCTGAGGTAGGTAATTACGAGCAAGAAGAAGAAATAAGGAGGGAAGGGAGATCAGGAAGAGGGAGGCAGAGGGAAGTGTTGACATTTTTGTTGGGATGCCCAAGGAAGGCCTGCCCATGAAGGTGACTTTTGAGGAATATCTTGAGACTGAGAGAATGAAGCTGAAGACCACGTAGGAAAGAGCGTTCCAGGCGGAGCGGCTGTGAAGCCCTGAGGTGGGAGCTGGCTAGGATCATTGAAGGACTGCAGGAGGTGGCTGTGGCTGCAGCAGCGGGCCAGGGAGAGGATAGGCAGAAGCAGGAGGGGGTGAGATGAGGGGGTGAGATCAGGGGGGCCATAAGGAGCCTAGAGGGCCATGTGAGCCTTTGGCTTCTCCCCTGAGTGAGCTGGGGGCC